>NC_000016.10:52138257-52441288 GCF_000001405.40 Homo sapiens | reverse complement strand
GAAACCAATAATGGTTTTCTTATACTTGAGTGAACCTTGTTATAAATAATCACACAACACAGGGCTTTCAAGTATTCCAGTGGCCATTTTCTGGTAATAGTAACTGTTAACTAATAAAAATAGCTAATATTTATTGCTTCCTATGGACCAGGCGCTTTCCTAAATGCTTAACATGTGAGTTCATTTAATTCTCACAACCTCTGCACAAGAAAAATACCATATAACCTGGCCAGGGGTAGTGGCTCACGCCTGTAATCACAGCACTTTGGGAGGCCGAGGTGGGCAGATCACGAGGTCAGGAGATCAAGACCATCCTGGCTAACATGGTAAAACCCTGTCTCTACTAAAAAATACAAAAAAATTAGCTGGGTGTGGTGGTGGGCACCTGTAGTGCCAGCTACTTGGGAGGCTGAGGCAGGAGAATGGCACAAACCCAGGAGGCAGAGGTTGCAGTGAGCTGAGATCGCGCCGCTGCACTCCAGCCTGGGTGACAGAGAGAGACTCCACCTCAAAAAAAAAAAAAAAAAAAAAAAAAAGAAAGAAAGAAAAATACCATATAACCCAATGTTACAGATAAGGAAACAGGAACAGATGAGTAAATTAACTTGCCCAATGTCACAAAGTTGTTAAGTCAGAGAACTGCATTTGAACTCAGGCAGCCTGTACTCTGTTGTCTTTAAACATATGGTACTCAATGGTAAAGTCGTTAGTACAGACTTAAATGCAGAAGAATTGTTGCTCTTAAATATGTGTATCGGTTATCTTTTGCCACAATAGTGCTGTGTAACAACCATCCCCAAAGCTCAATGATGTGATGTAAGATGAGCATTTATCCTCAGAGAGTGCCAGTTAGCTGACTGGTTCTTCAGATCTAGGCCAGGATTGGTAGAACCAGCTAGTCTTGCTTTTCTGTCTGGGGTCAGCTTGCATGTTGGAGGGGGCTGGACTCATTCACATTGATCACAGTTGGCTGGCTGGCAGTGAACTGACTCTTGAGGGGGGTAATTGGGCCACATGTCTGTCATCATGCACATGGCAGGGGCAGGCTTGAAGCCTCGTCTTGGAACTGGAGCAGTATCACTGTCATCACATTCTGTTAGCCAAAGCAAAGGCACAAGAGCAGCCCAGACTCAAGGAGGTAGGGGATTTGACTCCACCTCAGGGAGGAGTGAAAAAGTCACAAGACAAAGAGTACACATACAGGAGGGCATGAATAATGGTGGCCGTTAAAAAAAATCAATTTATAATATCTAAAAATGCTTAAATATTTTAAATACTTATGTGTTGTAACAGTCTGGAATTTTCTCCCCCAAAATGCAGGCTGCTGCTGAGTCAGCAGAAGCCCAGACCATCCGTTCTGTTCAGCAGACCCTGGCGTCGACCAATCTAACATCCTCTCTCCTTCTCAACACTCCACTGTCTCAACATGGAACAGTGTCAGCATCACCTCAGACTCTCCAGCAATCCCTCCCTAGGTCAATCGCTCCCAAACCCTTAACCATGAGACTCCCCATGAACCAGATTGTCACATCAGTCACCATTGCAGCCAACATGCCCTCGAACATTGGGGCTCCACTGATAAGCTCCATGGGAACGACCATGGTTGGCTCAGCACCCTCCACCCAAGTGAGTCCTTCGGTGCAAACCCAGCAGCATCAGATGCAATTGCAGCAGCAGCAGCAGCAGCAACAACAACAGATGCAACAGATGCAGCAGCAGCAACTCCAGCAGCACCAAATGCATCAGCAAATCCAGCAGCAGATGCAGCAGCAGCATTTCCAGCACCACATGCAGCAGCACCTGCAGCAGCAGCAGCAGCATCTCCAGCAGCAAATTAATCAACAGCAGCTGCAGCAGCAGCTGCAGCAGCGCCTCCAGCTGCAGCAGCTGCAACACATGCAGCACCAGTCTCAGCCTTCTCCTCGGCAGCACTCCCCTGTCGCCTCTCAGATAACATCCCCCATCCCTGCCATCGGGAGCCCCCAGCCAGCCTCTCAGCAGCACCAGTCGCAAATACAGTCTCAGACACAGACTCAAGTATTATCGCAGGTCAGTATTTTCTGAAGACGCATATGGCAGACGGATTTGCGTATACCAAGGAGAGTGGCATAGGAGGGAAAAGCATATGTGGCTGAAACCTGTAAGTTGGTGTTGGTTATGCAGAAATGTGTAACAGATCAAACGGTCCTCTCAAGTGTCTATTAGATAGGCAATAAGAACTGCAGTGTAGCTGAGTAACATCTTTTAGCTGACTATAAATCACTTTGTTTTTAAACAAGAAAAGCTGTGCTCTTTTATGTGATGCCTTTTTTATTTATTCAGGCTATACCTACAATATGTGAATCAAACTGTTTAATGAATCCTGGGACATACTGATGACTATAAACTGGCCTCTCTGAGTCATAGAAAAATGGCCTTATTTCTCCAGAAGTGAGTAAACCACACTTCCAGGCTATCTGAACTCCTGAAGCCCTAAAAATAAAAAGCACAGTTGTAACTACCTGAAATATGAAGATCCAGTTTCATACAAACATTTGTATGACGTGAATAGTTGATGGCATTTTTTTGTCATGAAAAAAATAATGTAAATCACAGACTTTTGCCAAAGCTCTTATTTTTTTTCCTAAATCTCTCCAGAAAAAAAATGCAAGTGACTAAATTCAATTATTGACTAATTTCCACTTTTTATCCATGACTTCTCCAAATCAAACCACAGTATATGTTGTAACAATATCTATGACCACTGTTAGCCCATTATATTCATTCCAATTAGAAGAAATGTGAATACTATATTCCGTGTTTTGAGTGACAAGTTTCGAAAAATAAAAACACTGTATTTTTAAAAGGGAAATGCACTTAAATGAAAACAGTTATTACAAAAGTTAAGATTTAAAAAGAAAAAGCAAGAGTTTTTATTATGATGTAATACCAGTAGAATATTTAAAAGGCACACCACATCTGAATAATCAATGTAAATATTTTCTTTCAAAGTTGTAAGTTTTCATATCATGTGCTGTAAAGTTTTCCTAAATGAGGCTTTAACGTAAACACTGGTGACATAAACCATTCATTGCTACGTTGCTTATTGTGTTTTTATGCTGTTTTATACTTTTTTATGAGTTATGATAGCAGCAATTAAGTTGTTTGTATTTTGCTTAACTAAAACAAAAATGCTTTTATCTTGCTATAGAATAAACACATTTCAGTAAAAACTGTGGACTGTATTTTGATGCAACAACAAAGAAACTGTTCACTTTTCAAATAAAATGATATGTCAGATTTCATTTTTGGTTCCTTGAATACATGTAAGATGGGGAAATATGCCACATACCAAGTTTCGTTTTAGCCCAAACATCATCTTCCATTTTTCAATTGGAAATATGATATTTATGGCCAAGAATATGCATTGCATAGCCTGAAATGAAGATCCTTGAAAAAACCAAAACAACGCATTGGAAATATTTGTGTAATTGTCTTTTTTTTTTTTTTTTTTTTTTTTAAGATGCAAGTACAAGGTAAGTATAGAGAAAAAAGTAATCGCTTTTTTGAGGGGGCTAGAACTAGCTGGGTATTGTAATGTTATTGCGATTAAAATAGATGGTGAATGCTAATTCTTAAGCCAAAATAATTATTTCGGTGCCCATTTATTCCCCCCTTTTCTTGCTCTGTAGCGGTTCCTCTTTGAGAGCAGTGTGACCACTATCCCCAGTTGTCTTGCATGATTAATTACAGCATCTGTCCTGTCAGAAGCTATAATGAAGAGGTCTTGATAAAAATTGCAAATTACCACTGGCAACAGTCTTAAACTGCTTATGATAAAATGAAAATTAAAAACAGCAAGTGTCAACCCTGACCAGAATCCTAATCTGGAAAGAATGAGGGTGTGCGTGGTGCGCTCCACAGCTACTATGTGCAAGACATTCAAAAATAATGGAATATGGATCCCTCAAAGTTGTTGTATTTCAGAGATTATTTACTGTATGTTGTGGGTTATGAATAATGAATTCAGCTTTCAATATTTCATAATCCTCTCCTACTCTGTATTATGTACAAATATTGAACAGCAAGAGATTCTAATTATAAATTTATGGATTTCTTGCTGTAGAAAAATTTATGTCTAAATTGAAGCTTTTCATAAGATGTATTAGTTGACAGGTATCAGTGTTCAAACAGCCTTAGAATGATGCCTAATTACATCTACAAGGGAGTGATTGTATTCCACAAAGAAATGATGTGCTAGCATCAGATCCTTCAGAAGTAGAGCTCGAATGGTAAAAGATTTTCTGTGAATTGAAACTAACATTACATAACAATAACCATTTTATATTCTGTTGTGAAACCTTTAGACAGATGTCTTCAAAATTAATTGCTAAACTACATGTGACAGTAATTGTGTATTAGTTCTGTAATTGTCATTTTGAAAACCCATGAAGTATTGCTTGGAAAAAAATGTCACTAGTGATAAGACTTAATTGCAAGTGAAGTCTGTTTTCAACTGTTTGCAGTTAGAAGCAGGTGTTGTAACATCTATTAAATGATTTTATAAATCTTGGGTTTTATCACATTTGATTAAATGCTGCTAAGCCACTGATGGTCAATTCCAGAGGAAAAAAAAAGTTTAATGACTACAGTTTATAAAATTAATCACCAGGCAAAACTACATATTTAAAATGTCAAAAGGCTTGAATCATGAAAAGAATTCCTCAACCTTGTTACCAAATTATTGTTTTCAGGATTCACAAAGCATGTTATATATCCATTTATATTTCAGTTTATACATATGACTGGTTTCTATTCCTGAGACTTAAGTAAGTACTTGGTGCGCTTTTTCTTTTGTTACAGGTCAGAAATAAATCAGGATAATGAAAAATAGACATGAGAAATGTGGTATCTGATTAGTGTCATATCTAAATGGCCTAAATGCCTTCCCTCTTAAGTGGTCTACAGACACCCCCCCCCACCCCCACCACCTCCATTTCTCTCTCTCTCTCTCTCTCACACACACACACACACACACACACACACACACACACCCCTTGTCTCTCCCAATGCCATGTAGACATTATTTTATTACTCTGGCTAAACATGTTCTCTCTTTGCATTAACCTGTACTGCTGTATGATGAAAGAACATAAGGCATTTTCATTTTTAGCTGACAAGGGGTCATTAGTTCCCGAGTCAGAGAACAAAAGCTTAAATGCCTTCGTGCAGCATAATTTCTGCAATATATTACCACCTGATGGAGGTTTGAAGGCTTTCTAGACAGATGGATTAATATCTCAAGTTTAAGTAGAAGTCCTCCACTGTGTCCATTCAGTGAGCTTTAGACATCTGAATGGTTTCTTTCCCATTTCTCACTTCATGGAGCATTTTTCAGCACTGGACTTCAATATAACCTTTCCTCCCCGCCCCCGCCAACCCCCCTTTGTTTGGCTTTTGTTTTGCAACAGCTGTTATTATCGTTTTTGGTCAGCTGTGATTGCTGGAGGCAAAATAGGACCAGATGGTGTTTTGCTATGCATGAATGGAGAGTTAGAGGAGTTGGGATTGAATAGGCCAAGTTTGAATGGTGTCTATGCACCACCTGCCTGCCTTAGATGTGGCGTACACATCACAGTAGCATGATCCGTCTCAGACCTACTAGAATCGGATGGGAAAGTGGAGAGCTGGGGTGGCTTTTCCTCATATTTATTGATCTTCCATGCACTAACAGAATAATGCAGTGTACAGTCAATTTGAGATAATTGGATATGACACAGCATGGACATGTAATCTATCACTCCAGAATTCTGGTTCACTTTAAGGATCTGACTGCTCTCCCAAATACACGCACACACACACACACACACATGCATACACACACACACTCATTCACTCAGTAGTAGCAAAAAATGGGCTAAGTAGGCGCAAGTTAAAAAAATATATAAAATAGACTTTTAGGAGTCTGAGGTTTTGGGAAGGGAAGACGTTGAAAAATGTGAATGCAAAGTGAAGAAAACCTGGTATTAATAGAAAGCCCTCATATTTGTACATTATTCTTCAGGTATTACACATTTATAAAAAAATGTGCTAAAGAAAATCAAACAGATATACAACCAGACTTGAATTCTCTTAGAAAATATTCTTAAATATATAAATGTTTTCTCCCCATCCCCTCAAATGCAGTTAGCTTTACTGATGATCTGAACTGACCTCAGAATAAAGACTTTCCCTGAATTTTAAAGCCAGTGAGCGGGTTTAATCCTTGTAGATTGTGATCCTACAGGTGTATGGGTTGTGTGTGTGTGTGACTGAGGAAAAGCTTAACGATCCAGGAGACAACGGCATCAGATATGCAGACAGACAGCTCCATTTGCCTAAGGCTCTAATTACTTAAATTTACCTCTGCTACATGCAAAACACTGTGATAGGTCCCAAAGAGATGCAAAAACAAACAGTGCCTTCTGTTTATTTTGTATATGTTTGAAATTTTTCATAATAAATGTTTAAAAAATAAAATAATAAAAGAAAGCCATTCTGACCTTTAGGAGCTTTCATTTTTTATTGGGGTGGAAAAGATACCCACCAGACACAATGATCTGTGTACCCATAAGAGCCATTTTTAAAGTGTGTTTTTTAATCTGAGAAAATTAAAATGTATTTAGAAAAGGGAGAGATTGCCATTGGTTAGGGGTATTAAGGAAAGCTACATGAAATTATGGGCATTTAAGATGTGCCTTGGAGGTTGTGTAGGATCTGAACAGGCCAAGATAAAAGTCATCCTGGTAGATGTAGAAGACATCTCCCGCCAAGGGGAGAGCAGAGAAAATCCATTCAGGTTGAAAACACAGGCACCTCAAAACAGCAGAAGAGAATCAAACAAAATTGGACAAACAGCTTTTGTGGAGGTGAGTAGGAAAAGCACTGGAGAGGAAGTGTGGGGTCAGATTTGTAGAAGATCTGCTGGGGAATTATGATGAACTCAAAAAGCACTGAAGGCATCCAAATAAGGCAGGTATGATGAGAATTAATTGAATGCATGAAGGCTGAAGGGTTTAATCTATTTTTTTAAGGGAGTGTCCAGGGGACACCGAAAGCTGAAAGAAAAGTGGAACAAGATGACCACTTGAAAATGTATCTCAATATTTAATTATTCATATGGATAAATGAAGCCGTCGCTTCATGTGCTTTCTCCTCTTTCTCATGACACTCCCATCTTCCTGGTGCAAGAACACACCATCAACAAAGCCAAAGCAAATCAATCAAGGTGTTTTTTTCATGTGTGTGTGTGTGTGTGTGTGGTGGCAACTGTAGAATAAGCCTTATCCTTCCATTAGCATCAAGAGAGAGATCATTTTCTGTGTTTCTGCTGTGAAAAGAAAGCTATTTTCACCACTGGTAAAAAGTACCTCTTGGTGCTTGAACTCAAATGTGATGAAGGATGAAAGAAGCCCTTGCTTTGTTGCTGAGTAAAACCTCAGGCAGCACTGGGAGAGATGTTGGTTACGGTCTCAATTTAATTTCAAAGAAGAACCTTCACAGAAAACGTGAATGTGGATGTACCCTTCTTAGCAAAGGAATAATGCTCTTTTGTGAAACATATCATTATCCCTGGCATTTGTATAGCACTCTGGACTTTTCAAAGCAGTTTTCTGTGTATTACTTCATTTGGTTCCCTTTCTAGGTAGGGTAGAGTTAACCTCATGTAACAAATTAGGAAACTGAGGAACAGAGGGGTGGTGGTGGCTTGTTTCAATATCTCTTTGTTTTTAAGAGGGACAGCCAGAAATGGAATGGATATGTCCTCGCTCTAGGTCAAATATTCATATATGTATGACATATATATTTGATATAGATTTATGCCTATCATATATTTGTATATAAGATGTGTAAATATATGTTTGTGTGTGTAGCTAGCTAGATGAAACATCCATCACAACACTGAACAGAAACATTAGTCCGTGCTTTCCACATGGCGAGGCAGGCAGTAAGGCAGAGTGAATGCCACAAGTAGTAGCCGACGTTCTCAATGGGACTTAATGCCACATGGCACTTTTTTTGGTGTGAATGGTTTCCAGTCTATTTTCCCTACTTCTCTGTCATTCTTTTATAGTCAAGCAAACAGCTTTGCCTTGTGGGGTTCAAGTGTTATGGCTGGAGGTACTACAAAAGTGCCAAGGCATAGTATCCTTCTATACGTTTAAAAAGAAAAACAAGATTTAAGGAAGCTTGAGATGGGTGAGCATCGGGTAGGTGTTCATTGTTATACATTACTTAAGGAATCCAATGAACCGCTCCAATGTTGAGCATGAAAAATCTAACAGTATAGGGGATGTATCTTCCCAGGAATTATGCAGTAACAACACTGTATACTACTTCATGAGTTACCATTCAATTTCTGAGACCACATGCCCCTTACTAAGTGCGGTGCATGCTACCACTCATTTGTCAAAGGAGATATGTCCCAAGTCCACAAGATTTTATTATTGTCTTAGTTTTAAATGAACAGCACACTAAAGCTACCTTGAAAATGGTCACGTGCTAAAACTGGTAGAAGTGAATGACAGTTTTGAACATATTCATCCAGACACCAGGTATGAGCATTCTGGTATTTGAGGCTTTAATTTGCAAGGTGTTTGAGTGACGTATCCAGAGGCAACTGAGTAGTGGTTTTTTTGAGATCCAGGTCTTATGTTTATTTTCAGATTTTTGGCTTATTTTTTCTTACCAGGCAGTTTGCCTTGTGTCTAAGGATATATTGTTACCAGGAAAGATGCTTCTGATAGCATTTCTTGTTCTGTCATTACTGTCATCCTTCTGACATGCAGAGAGAGCCTTAATTTCCAGTTTGTCACAGTGAGCAAAAATGATGCCATGTTCTAAACCTGCCTTAATTGGTAATTTGCAAATTTGATATAAGATCTTAGTCCAAATCATTCAGGCCTGCTGTTGCAGCCCTCACCCTTTTGGCCTATTCTTAATCCTCTCCTCTATAATTGGTATTGCGTATGTGGGATCCCAGGGGACAAATAATAGCATCGGAGGAAATTACCTACATACAGTCTGACCCCTTGTGTGTATTTTGGATGCCAAATTAAGACATCCATCTTTGGATATTTGGACAGTTACCTGGAAGGAATGGCACCATTTTGTCCATAATAACACTTTTATAAATTGTGTCCAAATGCTGGCATACCTAGCTTTCATCTTTTAAATGATGTTCAGAATATTTTGGCCAAACAATGTGAATATAGCTATAGTTCTTTCCAAATCAGAAACTAATTCCATGGGGGAAATGCAATATCCTTTTGCATGCAACAAAACCTTTGCTTATGCTGCTTGGAGGTAGAAATTTGGTAACAAAAAAAAGAGAGAAGAAACAGTATGTTTTTTCATAGCTTAAATCCTAAAGTCTTAGTTAGCAAGGAGATCAGGCTTTCTAATAAGGAAAATTTTCAAGACTAAAATATGCTAAAGGCCAGGCACAGTGGCTCATTCCTGTAATCCCAGCACTTTGGGAGGCCAAGGCAGGCAGATCACGAGGTCAGGAGATCGAGATCATCCTGGCTAACACGGTGAAACCCTGTCTCTACTAAAAATACAAAAAATTAGCCAGGCGTGGTGGCGGGCACCTGTAGTCCCAGCTACTAGGGAGGCTAAGGCAGGAGAATGGTGTGAACCCGGGAGGTGGAGCTTGCAGTGAGCTGAGATCATGCCACTGCACTCCAGCCTGGGTGACACAGCGAGAAAACATCTCAAAAAAAATGCTAAAAAGGTGACAATGATATTGACTTCTAGATCATCAGACACCTGGAAATGTGCTGACTGGGCTTAGTCAATGGCTAAAGACAAGCAACAAATCTGAGCAGAATGACTTTTGAGAATGGGCACAGCTTATCTTTCTTAGATTGGGTTAAATTTCTGAGAAGATATTTTTGTTTATTTGCAGGTTGTATTTGAAGTTTGTTTCCTGATGAAGAACCACTTATCTGTTGGAGACAAAATGTGTACTTTGTTCAGTCTTCTCAAAGTCAGGCTGTCTTGAGTAGGTTAGATAGCTGTCAATAGAGATTTAAATTCTTAGACCAAAGATTGTTCAGAGATCAGTCATATTTTAAAAGTTGCTGTTCTGTTTAATTGTTAAAACTTTTTACATAGTGAGGGGGCCTCTTCAGGGGGAAAACTTCATTTGATGATTTCTGGAGGAACAGCTTGGAAGGGGCACCGAAAGACCCTGATAGCACTTCATGAAGGGAAATTTAGGAAGCATTCCTGTTGGCCAAATTTAAGGACCTAAATCTGTATCACACATATAGGAAATGAGCAGAAATCTGTAGCACAAAGTAAGTGCACTTAATGCTGAACAGAACTGTAGAGGTGTGTCAACATTCCAGGCATGTGGGCCATGATTTCTGCCATGATCCTATGCTATCAAGGTAACCAGGCTTCAAGTCAAAGAAACGGAACACAGCTGGAGAAGATCATCGGATTCATGTGGATTGTGGAAGCCTACGCAATAGCCATGAAACTGCTTGGCCCCAGAACTAATAAGCTACATTTTGTAAGCCCGTATTCTTACAACAACTAAGAGTTTTATGTTTGATACAGATGGTGTTTATATAGAGTATGTGAGCTCAGTGTGAGAAGTAGTCATAAAACAGACTGGGGTTTGGTATAATTATTCACAATTACTATTGTATAATTGAATGCCATAACTATTATATAAAAATATTTTAAGAAGTAGACTCGCTTATACTTCCACAATAGTTCTTAACAATAAGAGACATATGCTGTAAACATCATAACATATTTTATGGTGTTTACAAACTTACACAAGGTTTGGCGAAGTTGCAAATATAAAAGGCCGGGTTCTCCTTCTTGCATCCTTAGGGGAATCAGCTGCCCTTACTCACCCGCAGTAGCAAGCTCCCCTTCTAGTCACCTGTGGACTTGAGAAGTCAACTGCATTGGACCACCCAAATGAATGAATGAATGTGGATAACAATATTTTGGCAGATACAAAAGAGAAGAGAAGAACGGGCATGTTCTGTGGAAAATACACAGTTCTCTATCTTTCTCCAAGTGAGCAAAGGAGAGTTCTGTTGGGCCAAATTATGGCAATTGGCACATTAGCATAATGCTTATTTTAATATTTCTGGATGAAATTAGTGAATCTATAGTGTCTAATTGTTATGTGCATAATCTCCTATGTTTTCTAATAGAAAGATAAGCCTATGTCCCTATCACCCCCAAGCTACAAAACAACCAAAAATAAAATTCATTAGAGTTTTAAGTGAAACTTCATTTCTTTTTAATTGCATATGCAAAACAGGTCTGTGTTCATAAGCATGGCAACTCTTCATGCAGGGAACAGTAGAGCACAGGAAGCGAACTTCAGAATAAATGACTTTGTGATAGTTTTGTTTTCTAACACACCTGTAATGGGTATGGAAATCATGCCCTCCTTTGCTCCTACTCATGGGTGGCATCCATTGCTAAACTTTTGCCTGTTACTCTGGAGGCTAATTGCTAAGATTTGATGACACAGTAGTTTCAAGAGATGTCCAATATGTGCTATGTTAGCATTGAGAGTGAGAAGCATCTTTATTGTCTGGACCCCTCTCCAATTTCCATGATTCCTAATGCAGAGGAGCACATGCCAGGCTGGAGACCATTACTCGCGCAAGCCCATCTTCTGTTGTCGTAATGATGGTGCCTTTGAATATTTATCTGCCAGATGACAAACAGGACATCTTGTGCCTTAGCAGCCTGGGAGAGTGAGAGTAAGCTCTCTTGTTATATTGGAAGCCAAGACTTAATGTTCCAAGTCTGAACTGAAACAACCTGTCTTAGGTATGGTTTCCAAAGAGAATGCTTCCAAATGTCCTCCTTGGCCCTGGAGGAGGGAGGCAGTGAAGTATGGCTTTAGTACCTTTACACCTGAGTGTGTAGCTTCAGCCTTTAGGAGATTCTCAGCTATCTTGCTGTTTCCTACACCTGGAAGATGGCCAAGAAGGCTACTGACTCAATGAGAGCAACAACACATACAGTGAACTCCAGGATCAGAGTTCCTGAGAAAGAGAATGTGAATGCTTAGTGAGCAAGGATGCTTGGGGTTTCGCCTACCTGAGTCTGGACTGGCTCACCCTAATTTTTTTTTTTTGCAGGTGGAACACAAGCATACATATTTATGTACTGCTAAGTTTGACCTACACATTACAGCTGTTTCTTTATGATTGTATAGTACCACTTTTTACCAACCTGGCTTAATTCTATGGTGCAAGTAGCCCAAGGGACTGTTAATAAAAGCGAACCGTTGTGCTTTCTGATGTCAACCTCAGTGCTTAGGATTTTATTTCAAACATTCTAGCTTCCATTAATAGCTTGCTGTGAATGCATTACCTATTAATTATTCTCACCTTGTCATGTTTACAAACGTTGTTGTTTTTCTCTAAGCTTTATAAAATAGAGTATCTATTTATTTGACTTTTTACCCTTTATCCCATCATCTCATTGGCTTACATGCCAGCATAATATTATCCAATTGAGTCATTCACTTACGCATTCATTTAGCAAATATTTACATGGAGCCTTCTCTCATGGAGTTATATTCTGATGGGGGAATGCAGTTTTATTCAGTAAGTATTTGGGAACCCAATAAATGCCATGAATAAAAATAAGCATGGAAGGGGGAGAAGGAGGGTATGAGGTGGATAGGGGATGAGCTACAAGTTTAAATAGGGTAGACAAGGAGGGGCTTATTGAAAAACTGACAATGGATGAAGGATGAATCTGTGTGTTTATATGGGAGAAGATCAACCTAGACAGAGAAAAGGTGACTAAAGGCTCCCAGGTATGCAGTGTTTGAGATGCTGCAAGGCAGCCCCTGTGGTTTGAGGGGAATGAAAGAGAGAAAAAGCAGTGGATGAGGTCTAAATGGGAAGCCCCAAGGCAGGCTGTGTAGGGCAGTGGTTCTCCATCCTTGCAGTGGATCACAATAGCTGTACATTCTTCCTTAGATGTGTTAATGACATTGTGGTTATGTTGGAAGAAAAATGAATTCTTAATTTATTGAGTTGCATTCTGAAATATTTATAGATATTGATAATCTAGATAATGACTACCTGGATAATGCAATGATGTCTGAATTTGCTCCATAGTAATACAAGACAGGGGAACTGTATGGGGATGTGGAGGGGGCAGGATTGGCCATGGGTTGAGAGATGGCTGGATGATGGATACACAGAGGTCAAAGTGCTAGCTTGTCTACTTTAGTGTATGTTCAAAATTCTCCATAATAATAACATTAAAAAGAATTACCTGGGGGGCCTTTTAGAAAAATAACAGCTCCAGGAATTGATGTAATTAGTTTTGGGTGGGTGCAGCATTGACATTGCTTGCTTGTTTGTTTTTCATAAGCCTCTCTAGGTTTTGTTAATTTCCTATTAGTAGGAGAACCACTGGTATAGGGTCTTCTAGGTCATTCTTAGGGCTTGCGATTTTACTGTGAGTGAGAAATGAAGTCAATGGAGAATTTTGAACAGTCGACTGACACAATCTGCCTTTTGTTTAAGACAGATCATTCTGGATGCTGGGTTGAGGATAAACCATAGAGGAACAAGCGCAGAGGCCAGCAGATCCAGCAAATTATAGACAAAAGTAATTACAAAACAGTTTGGTGAGGGCTGCGATAGGAGAGAACATAGGGCACATAGAAAGGTAGGCTGAACACACATATTGTCAATCCACCCAACCACTGCTCAGCAAAGAGGGACATTCCAAAATATGCTGGGATGATGTACTGTGAAGGAGTAATGATATTTCAGGTCTTGGATAGAATATAGTATGTGAGAGAGAGTGAGATGACCTAGGAAACCTCCCATTGCAGGGGAAAGTCACTCGTTCTTAAAGACCTTTGATTTCCTTTACCCAAAGTAATTAATGCATTGCAGTTATTTGTCCAATCTTCACTCTTATTTCTGATTTTTAATGAATACGACAAGACTAGGAGGGGTAGAAAGAAGAAATGTTTTCAGAGTCCAATATACAGAAACTTAGCCTCTCATCTTTCACTCACTTGTGAATGTACAGAAGGCTTTGGAAGTCCAGCCAAACCATTCAAACCACAGTCTTCAATGACAGTTATGGCATTTTCCCCACACGATGAAATCTTCCACATTTAGAAGCAGAGCATTGCCCATCACTCTGGGCTGTATATTCCAAATATTACTCCCAGACACCTTCTTCAGTAAATCTTCTATAATCCCCAGCAATATATGGAGTGAGCCTTTGTAAGGTTCTGTATTGGATCTAGCAGGGAACAAATTGCCTGAAATGCAAGCTTTGCTTTCAGGTAGCTTTTTAAAATGTATGATTATTGCTATTATTATTATTTTATTTGTACAAGTTGATGGGTTATATGAACAATTTTGTTAAATGCATGGTTTGCATAGCAGTCAAGTCAAGGCTTTTAGGGTATTCATCACCTGATTAACATATGTCGTACCCATTAACAACTTCTCATCATGTACCTCTCTCCCATCCCCTCATCCATCCCAGTCTCCACTATCTATCACTCCACTCTCTATGCACACGTGTACACATTTTTTAGTACCCACTTATGAGTGAGAACATATGATGGTTGACTTCCTATGCTTGGTTTATTTAACTGAAGATAATGACCTCCAGTTCCATCCATGTTGCTGCAAAAGATGTGATTTCATTCTTTTTTATGGCTGAATCATGTAGGGAGCTGACATTCTGATCCTCCCTCTTTTCATGCTAACCATTGCACTTTATTGGGTACACATACAAGCATTTGCTGATAATCTAATTTGTTATATAGGTCACTACTGATTGTAAAGCTCATGGGATACAGGGTCCGTGTCTTACACATGAATGTTTACATTCCCCTCATCACAAGGTGGGCCCACAATAGACGCTTAAAGATGTTGATTGACTGATTTCTAGATAATTTTTATGTGAAGTCAGTAATAGGACGCAGAGTTCAAGAATAGTGCATCTTCAAAGTTATTGTAGGGGGATATTGAGATGACTATAGCTGATCTGACTTAACCCTGGAGCATCTGGAGAGCTCTCCAAATCCAACACACCAAAAAGCACGTGGGAGGGGAAGCTGAATTGTTAGATTTCCCAGTGGCATCTAAGAGGATTGTGGTGTTGGCCAAGACTCTTACTGCTGTCTCAAGCATAAACCCTTTGGCCCAAGCCCATCTGGCTAAGCGGGGGAAGAAATAACCAAATTTGACATTGACCCAGCTTATCTCTCCTCCAAGAAAACTACACCTGTGCCTTCCATGTTGACTTTTCTCTTTGGACCACCTCAGCCCTTCTGTATTTCATTTGCTACATAAACCCCTTTTTATTGCTATAAGTAGATATTATGCTATACTTTGTGCATGTATAAACACTGTCTTTCCTTTAGCACTTCAGAAGGACAATGCCTTCTACTTCTTCAGAAGCCCAAAGCACGTGCTCAATAGTTTTAAAAGAAATAGAACTTAACACAATGCATTATTCTGTTTATTCCTGTTTTAATTAGGACTCTCAATTACAAGAGATAAAAACACAAATCAAATTGGCTGAGGGAAAGTAAGCGCATTTATTTGCTTGTATAACTGTGAAGTCCAGGGACATAAGTAGCTTCAGACACAACTGGTGCCAAGAGTGCAAACATGTCATCAGCACTCATTTTCTCTCTATGTCTTTGTTCTGTGTTCTACTGGGGTGTTTTCATTCTCTGTTTTCACTCAATGACTTCTGGAAGCCCAGCTCAAATATCTGTACTGCTAGCATTTCCAGCAGAAAAGAGAATGGTCTCTTCTCTCACCACCTCAATAAAATCTCTGTGTTTAGCTGGGTCTAATTGGGTCTTGTGCTCAAGTATAAAGCAATGACGATGAGCTAGTGTAGGGTACTGATCTAATTTGTTAGGCTTAAGTCACCTGCTCATCCCTGGAACTGAGGATGCGTTCAACTCCATGAGAAGTACGTGGGTTAAGAACAGAGAGAAGTGCTTCTCCTGTGAAAAACGAGACCCCTGTTGTCAAAAGAAAAGTGAGTGGAATTGCAAAGAAAATTCTTTTCAGAGAGTTGGCTGATAACAAAGCATTTATCAGGAGTCTGGGAAAAGGAAAAACTCACTTTTGGTTTAGGCCAAAATAATTAGTTTTATGGCTTTTGGAAGGTGTTCTCTTACTCTCAGCCTGCCTTTTATGTGAGGACATTGCCTAGAGTCAACTCCAACAGTCTATTCTTCAAAGTGAGGCCATATGACCTGCCTCTTGTTCAGATTCCCTCCTTGGCTTTATGCATAAAATAAGAAGAAAAACTCTCCTTTGCAAAACCCACCAAACATCCATATCACACTTGCCTCCTCTTGTTAGCTTCCCCATGTGGCTGTTGAATAAATGATTGAACATAGGGCAGCACTTAATCTTCCTAACAATAGCCCTCCAAACACCCAACACTGTCAGATGCTTTCCTGGCATTTGAAAATATGCCTGCAGCAAAACTTTCTATTGAACTTTCACAGTGACTAAGACCTTGCGGACAAAGAAGACTGTCTGTTAAGCTGCCATCATTTGGCAAAATCAGTGGCCATGGGGCCTCCGGGGGAAGAGCAGAAGACATGGATGGTAACCCCCAAAAGCCAGCCAGGAGTGGGGTGCTGGGGCTTTCCCAAGCTTGTACACTGACTTCATGACTTGATTGCACTCCAATTTGGGGACATTTCAGGGTGGGGGCTTGGAGGTTGGGAAGAGGGGTAGCCCTCCATAGTATAAGTGGTGTCCGAGATGTCTTAGATGTAGCATTCGTCACTGTAAGCCTCTGTGTCTTGGCTGTTTTCCTCTTGCTCCATGCAAACTCTTGATCAAGGTTGGATTTGCCACCGGGATACTTCCTCCAATTTTCCAGCACAGCATCATTTTATAATTTCAAAAAATAGTTGATATAATATTTCAGAATGCTAAATGAGATTTAAAGACTGGATAGTGAAATGTACATAGCTTTGGCTTATTTTGTTGGTAATAGACACTACTTAGCAGTGATTCTCTGCTCTTGGTGATTTCTCCTTCTCTGGCACTGGCCCGTGACACACTGGACAGTGTTTTTCAATACACAGTCTTTCTGGCCATAGCTGATGGACTCAGGGGCAGACACCTGTCCGTGGGTGAGCCAATCAGCTTATCCCTTCCTGGAATTTGCCAGTTGAAGCAGAGCCTGAGGTTCAATGGAGTGGAGTTAATATTAGCACTGTCTTCAGTGTTTCTTGGTCTTTTCTATTAAATATACAGATCCCAGCATACCCCCGGCCCAAAGTTCTGATTCAGCAGGTGTGGGTTAGACCCAGCAATCAGTGTTTTAACAAACACTTCTAAGTGAGTCCTATCATCAAGTTGACTTGGAAAATGCTTGTTAGAGAAGGTTTAGGAATTTTCACTGTGGGATTTCCTTAGCAGGCTTGGTCCTTCCTTCCCAAGTCCTTGCAAGTGTTCCACTCTTCATTCCATAAATAAGCCTACTACCTCCTCTTTTGTCTTTATTTATTTACTTTACTAGTGTTCATTTCTATTGCTTACAATAAAAGACTATGAATTTGAAAATATATCATTTCTTGAGGGACCAGACAAAGGGTATTACATGTTGAAATCAGAAGAGGAAAGAAACCGTAGATGCATACACCAGAAGTAGATGAGCTAATTGAACTCAGCTCATAGCTGAGTGGGGGAAGACTCCATACTAGAATATGCTCTACATTCATTTTCCCTGGAAAGAAGAAAAACATAACAAATGAGGGACTCTGGCCTTTTAAGAAAATTGACAAGCTGTAGCTATTGTTTTTGCAGATGTATGTGACCTATTATATGCCTGACACCTTATTTTTTTCCTATCATTTCATTTTCAGAAACTTGCCAATGCCCCAAGCCTTGTTGGTCAATATCCCCTTTGTGCAAGGATGCCCTGTGTTCATCTTTAGATGTAACATTGATATATGAGATAAATGAGGCTAAATTGGAAAAGCACCATGATCCCCTGTCATGATCCCCTTGACAGCTGGGTCAAGAAAGGCCAGGTCAAATGGTTTTTTGGTTTTGTTTTGTTTTGCTTTTGAGCACACAGTCAGTGAGATGTTCTGTTTTTGTTCAGTCTCTTAATTCCAAGCCACTGGTAGCTAGCTTCTGCCTGCTTAAGTGAGGTGTGTCTACTGATGTACCTGGATGTTCTTGCAAAAGCAGCAAACTTCAGTGGTCAGTTGCTTGGGTAGTCTTTTATTTAACCAGAAATCTCTCATTTAAACTTCAGTCTTGTGCATTAGAAAATTTGTGACACAGTGCTCCCCAAATGAATAACAATGCCGTAGACAGAGGTTTCCAAAATGCACATTCTTTGTAAGAAATAAGGGATCTCTGCAGTAAGGCAACTGATTTCTACAGCCCTAGTATGCTTTCTGTTTTCTTTTCTCCCGAGAGCCAAACTTTACAATAGCCTTTACCACCCCTTTCCAATATTTTGTATGTGGATGGGATTCTAAGTAACTCTAGATTCCCCTAAAAATAACAGTCTGCACTTGGCTGACAGTATGACTCTAGACATCCCAAGATAACTTGATAGAGAGTAACAGTGTCCACTCTAATATATCAAACATTTCTTCTTATTTTTCAACTCTGAACTGCCTTTTTGTCCCTTTTCACATTGACAGCCTGCTATCAATTCCAGCAGGGAGAACACAGCCTGGATATTTGCCCGGTAATTAGTTGGCTATAAATCAGTGAGAGTTGGTCATTTTATTAAGCATGTTCAGATCTTGTTAGCAGTTCCTCACCAGGGCCCATCAGCATTGTGGCAGCTTTAGTTGGTTAATGTGATATTAAGCCTTCTAGGTAATGAGAAATTGAGAAAAAACCTCATTCAGATTGGGTAATGTTTGGTGTCCTTATTTTTGCATTGTACATTGGTATCTAATATCAGCTGTATGAACCCACTGTCAGGCAGCAATGCCATCTCTTGTTCTATTTTTAGTGCCTTCTGTCCTTGTGAACATTAAAGTTGCTCACAAAATACCAGAGTGATGTTCTCTCCAGGCATTCTGGAAATTCCAAACCTTCCTGGTGTCTCCTCTGATGTAGGGAAACTGACTTTAGATCTCTACTTAGTTTTGCTAATCTGAGAAGGTTAATGTGTGTGCCTTAGAGTTAGGCAAGACTTTTCTATTTTTCAAGTATCAAATGATTTCACTTACAAACCTGATCAACCTGAATTCTTTGGGTCATTCTTTTCAGCATCAAGTTTAGCATCATAAAATTCCATCTTCTACTCTTTCCCCATGGAAGTATAAGCTCTCCTTTTTCTTTTTCTTTTTGCTTGTCTGGTAGCCATTCTTCTTTTGGTAACTGCCTCCTGGTGTTCCTTCATTTATGTGGCATGGATGTTGCTGACTCCATTTTTGGCCCAAGGATAGATGTGTGAACCAGGCCTGGCCACTGAGAGCATCACGTCTTATTACTCACAAGAATAGGCTTACAGATGGACATGTGACTCAGTCACAGTCTATTGAACTGAATTCTGTGAGTTTTTTTTTTTCTAGATCGCTTAGGAAAAAGATAATCCTTAATTTTTCTAAGGTTGCTCAGAATCAAACATAACAACTAACTCTAGGAGAGACACTCCATGAGTGGAAATGGTGTCCAATTGAGAAAAGTGAAACCAGGAAATCAAAGAGTAAACCTGAGTCTGGTGACATGATTTAAGTCTCTGGATCCAGCTGTGCCTGCAGCATGAATTGGACTTCTTAATTATTCATGCCAATAAATTCCTTTTTCTGCTTAAGTCATTAAGTTGGATTTTTGTCAGTGGTAGCATGGGAGTCCTAATAACCACAGGTCTTTGCCTCCTACCCCACCTGCCTATTTTTCCTACCCTGGCCCACTCCATTATATGCATCTCCATCAAAATCTGCTTATTTTCGAAGATTGAATTCACATGTCCTTGCTTCCAGAAAGTTTTCCCTAGTACTTCCCCTAATAAATTGAATTTCTCACTCCTTTCTTTTTCCACAGCATCCTAAAATTCCCCATGACATTTTTTGACATTCACATTTCCATTTATTATAAGCTTTCTGGTGATGCTGTGTCCTGAACACTGTAGATATTCAATAATGTAGTGAATCAAAATTAGTGCCTTTGGAGGCTGCAAGCACTTTTCACCTTCTTAGGAAACAATTAGATTAGCCATGAGTCCCCTAAGCAACATTTCCCAAACTGATCCATTAAATACCAGTGTACTTTAAGGTACTCGAATAACAGGTGGTTAGCTATAAAAATGTCTTGTGGTCCAGCAAACCTAGGAAACTCTCAGTTAAACAAAATTAACCTAATGCCTCTTGGAGCATTTATTAAACTAAGAAACAATGTAACAGAGTGGGCAGGATGTGGGGGGATGTGGACATAAAATGGCATGGGTATCAGTCAGGGTCCAGTGAAGAGACAGAAGCTATAACGTCATCTGAACTGGAAAGGTTTAATACAAAATGGTTATTAATGAGTGTCAGGGGACTGGTTAATGAGGAATAAAGAGAACTAGAAAGAATATAGGAAGAGATTCACACCTGATGCAGAGTAGGTGGTTCTACCCCACTGGATGGTAGAGAAGTTCACTGAGGTGCCATAGACCAAGGCTGCAAGCAGGAGACCACTGGCTGAGAGCTCAATAAAACTTTCCCAGAAACTGCCCAGTTTGAACTGTTAAACTGACTTCTCAGATCTCACCTTCAAGGGAATAAACCCTTTATAGTCTTACTCTGAAAATTGACATGTTTTAATCTTTCTTTCTTCAAATGTACTGGCATTGATAAACTGCCAGTATGGGCTTAAAGTTGCCTGAGATTAGTGAACATTTTTCTTTTTCTGTGATACATAGTGCCTTGAAAAGTGCCAAGTATACCGTTTTCCCTTCTCCAACTTTACACATAATTATTTGCACTTCTTTGTGGCACTTCTTTTGTTTTTATTATTATACTTTAAGTTTTAGGGTCCATGTGCACAACGTGCAGGTTTGTTACATATGTATACACGTGCCATGTTGGTGTGCTGCACCCATTAACTCTTCATTTAACATCAGGTATATCTCCTAATGCTATCCCTTCCCCCTCCCCCCACCCCACAACAGGCCCCAGTGTGTGATGTTCCCCTTCCTGTGTCCATGTGTTCTCATTGTTCAATTCCCACCTATGAGTGAGAACATGCCGTGTTTGGTTTTTTGTCCTTGCGATAGTTTGCTGAGAATGATGGTTTCCAGCTTCATCCATGTCCCTACAAAGGACATGAACTCATCATTTTCTATGGCTGCGTAGTATTCCATGGTGTATATGTGCCACAGTTTCTTAATCCAGTCTATCATTGTTGGACATTTGTGTTGGTTCCAAGTCTTTGCTATTGTGAATAGTACTGCACTTCTTATTTCTACCTTGCATGAATTATATTAGAGGTTCAACAAGAATTCTAGTTTAAATCCTATGTATTCCACTAAGATTTGCAAGACTGACCCAGAAGGACATTTTGTTTTTTACCTAAAAACCTGTATTTTACTGAAAATCTGTATTTAAACTTTATTGCTATTTGCCTGCATTCCTTATCTTCCTGTTTCAAGGCCCCCAAGAAAGTATCTGACTGACTTGACATCTTGGTAGTCTCGATGGTATGTGGATGATTTTAGCTGAAATAAAAGAAAATCCTAGTTAACACTGGATTAACAGCTGAAGACATTTACTTTTCTCACATAACAAGAGCTCTGGAGGTCAGTGATTCATGGATGGCTTGGTTGTTTAATGGTATACATAGACCTCTAGCTCTTTCTGTTCATCCATCCTGCTATCTATAGTTTCTTGGTTTTGCATACTCAAAGTTGTCACTTCAGATTTGCAAGATGGAGTCTGTACTCTAAGTATCAAGTTCTTACATGAGAATATCCAAAGGAAGAAGGGAAAATTAATTTTCTCTCATATCAGATCTTTATCACATGACCACACCCAGATGCCAGGGAACTTGCTACAGTAGGGATGAGACATTTGTATAATAGCTTCTGTCATGGGACTGGACAAGAGTGAAGGGGGATTAGAATGCCTATTCATATGCAGTCTGTAGTTGTAGGCTAGAGAAGATGCTTATTAAACACTCACTGAGTGAATGCATGCACAAATGAAAGATTTTAGTGTGTACTTTTTATATTAAATGCTATTTATAGGGTCCCAGCTTTAAATTGGAAATTATGCCACATGAACAAGAGATGACTCTTGATCTCCAGTTGCTTATTCTTTAGGAAGCTGTTTTCTTTGCTTGTTTTCTTATTTTCCTAATCATTGAAACATCATGTTACTAATATTTCACTAGTGTGAGTAACAGGATCAGAGGCAATATGTGGGAAAACTGATCTGGTTAAAAAAGATTTTAAAGTCATCTCTCATTTATATGTCATACTAATTTCTTCTTTTGTGTGCATGTAAAATTCTTTATTTCCTCACTATTTGAGGCATTCCATAAGACTCTGAATTCTTCAGATATTACCCAGTTATTCTTTCCATTATTATTTCTCACAATATTGATTGGGTTTTTCTCTGTGATAGTATTATACTATGGATTTAGCATGCATTATCTCATTTAATCCTCCCTTTACCCATTCACATTGCAAATCTAGCATTTGAATGAAGATCTGTCAGACATTAAAAATTATTTCCTTTACTAGAATTCTGTACTACTTCCCATAGAGATCCTCTTACCTATCTTTTTCTCTGTGAAATATTATTTATCCTGTGTTTCAAACTGCTCTCTCATATTAATGGTGCTGGACTTCCACCTCTGACCATGAGGAAGTAATTGCTATCTAACCGTGGTTTCAGACACTGGGCAATAAATGCACTGGATTGTGAGTTCTGAAAGAAGCGAGACCAATGAGGTGAGACTAATGATCACCAAAACTTTCTGCTTGAGACGTTTTATGGATTCCAATAAATTGGGAAAGCCCATTGAAAGCAAATCAGACCCCCTGAGTTCAGGATAAGGAGACTGGGGAGGCCTAGGCAGCTGGAATTTGTGGGCCAGAGTACAGAAGAAGAGGAGGTATGCTTAGAAAGAGCTCTCAAAATTTTCATAGGAGTTCTTGAGCCTTTTGGTTAAATACTAAAATGCATGTACACAGTAAGAAACTTCATGAGATTAGCCCAGAAAAACTACTGAAGCTGAACAATTCCTAGATCTCACACTGGACTGGGAGACATTCAACTTTTCCCATACCACACGGGAAAAATTCGTTGAATATTTACACTCAGTAGAAAGCCCAGAGGGCCATAGCTTAGAAGTGGGATGTAGCCCTCGAGTTAAACCTACTCTATACTCTCTGTAACAAAATTTACAAACAAATCTCGAAAGGAACAAGCAAATCTACATGAAACTTCCTAATAAAACAAAATTCAACACTCTTCGAAGACAATCAAAATCTAGAAACTCAATATTGTAACATTGATAATTTCTGGAATACTATTACAAAATAATAGAAATGATAAGAAAAAGGGGAATGTGACCCATAACTACAAGAAATCAATCAATAGAAATAGACTCAGAAGTGACAGAGAAGATGGAAATAGCAGACAAGACTTTAAAACAGGTCTTATATATAGGCTCAAAAATTTAGATAAAAATATGCATGCAGTTGAAGAGGGAAATGAAAGATATAAAAAAGAATAAAACATATTGAAATGAAAAAATACAATATTGAAAATAAAAAATTCAATGGGTTGGCTTAGTTAGACACTGATGAAAAATATTAGTGAACTTGAAGATACAGCAATAGAAACAAACCAAACTGAAACAGAGAAAAAAGAATAAAAATAAAAATAAGAAAGCCTCATTGACCTATGAGGCAATATACAAAGTCCTAATATGTGTCACTGAAATCCCAGAAAAGGGAAAGGAACAGGAAAAAATGTTTTAAGAAATGATGACCACAAAATTTCAAATTTGATAACAACTTGAAATTTACAGATCCAACAAATTCAACAAACCAAAACCAGGATAAATGCAAAGAAAACTGCATCAAGGTACAACAAGGCAAATTGCTGAAAACCAGTGATAAAGGAAAAATCTTAAAAGCAGCAAGAGAAAAAAGTATACATTGTATATAGGGGATCCAAGGTAAGAATGAATGCTGACTTCTCATCAGAAACAATGCTGGCCAGAAGACAATAGAATGACATCTTTAAAATGCCAACAAACAAACAAAAACTTCGCCATTAACCTAGGATTCTCTATCAAGAGAAAATACCCTTCAAAAAGGAAGAAAAACAAAGATATTTGTAGGCCCAATAAAAACTAAGAGAATCCCTATCAATGGTGCTCATAGTAGATAATTTAAGACCACATCTCTCTATCTTACCTGACTTCTGTTTCCTTTATTGACCCTACTCTTCTAATGCCATGCGATCCAGGTAATACTCTCTGTATTTGACTATGCCACCTAGTGAGATTTAAACATAGCTCCTATATGAAATAATTCCAGTGTTCTGATTTGGAATCTTGGCACTGGAAACTCCAATATTCACCTTGTCTTTGATCTTTTCAGTTTTTTATTTGTTCTTTCCAATTCTTGGTGGATTTGTAAGCTCATAGAAGGCAAGGACTATGTATTATTCATTTTTCTGTAGCTTTTTTGTAGCACTTTTAGCCATATGCGCTTTAAAAATGTTAATTTATAATTGACATTGAAATTGTACTCCAAAGAGTTAAAGAAATAAATGCCTAACAGATTCTTGAGTTTGTAGGATGACAGATTAAAAAAACAACTACTTGCTGAAATGCTGGAACTCCCTCTGCTTGTAGGATAACAAAACTGGCTGAAATTGATTGGAACCAATATGGCTGACTACAGTCTATGCAGAATGAACTTGCTGACATCACAGTCCAAATTCCCGCCACATGGTTCATACTATCTTCTCCTGAAATTGCATGTGTGACTCATGAAGAGGCATGAAGAGATAACAGTACATGCTTGAGGACTCTCCAGACCTCCTCTTTCCCTCCCCCAATCATGTACTAAAGCCAGAATCCACCCTTGAACATTTTCTAATAAAAATACTGCCTTGAAGGTGGCACCAGGAGACAGATTTGAGCTGGACTCCTGTCTCCTTTTTGGTTGACCTTCAATAAAAACCTTTTCTTTTCTCAAAAACCCAGTGTCATTGTATTGGCTTCTAGAGCATCAGGCAGTGAGCCTGTTTTGCTTGGTAACAATATTAGAAAATTGGTAAATCAAATTTGTTACTTTTTAATGAATACTCTGCCATTATCAGGTAAGGATTTTTGATATTGTTGTAGTTTTTTGTTTTTGTTTTGTTTTGTTTTCAGCCCAGGATGTTTAGCAGATAAATATTTTTTCAGAGAAGTGATAGTTATGAGAAAAAAAACAAACAACCCCATCAAAAAGTGGGCAAAGGATATGAACAGACACTTCTCAAAAGAAAACATTTATGCAGACAACAGGCATATGAAAAAAAGCTCATCATCACTGGTCATTAGAGAAATGAAAATCAAAACCACAATGAGATACCATCTCACACCAGTTAGAATGGTGATCATTAAAATGTCAGGAAACAACAGATGCTGGAGAGGATGTGGGGAAACAGGAACACTTTTACACTATTGGTGGGAGTGTAAATTAGTTCAACCATTGTGGAAGACAGTGTGGCGATTCCTCAAGGATCTAGAACCAGAAATACCATTTGACGCAGCAATCCCATTACTGGGTATATACCCAAAGGATTAGAAATCATTCTATTATAAAGACACATGCACACTTAGGTTTATTGCGGCACTATTTGCAATAGCAAAGACTTGGAACCAACCCAATTGCCTATCAATGATAGACTGGATAAATACAATATGGCACATATACACCATGGAATACCATGCAGCCATAAAAAAGGATTAGCACATGTCCTTTGCAGGGACATGGATGAAGCTGGAAACCATCATTCTCAGCAAACTAACACAAGAACAGAAAACCAAACACCACATGTTCTCACTCATAAGTGGGAGCTGAACAATGAGAACACATAGACACAGGGAGGGGAACATCACACACAGGGCCAGTCGGGGGATGGGGGGGCTAGGGGAGGGAAAGCATTAGGAGAAATACCTAATGTAGATGATGGGTTGGTGGGTGCAGCAAACCACCATGGCACGTGTATACCTATGTAACAAAACTGCATGTTCTGCACATGTACCCCAGAACTTAAAGTATACTAACAAAAAAATAAGAATGAGTTTTATTTTCTTAAAACAAAAGCAAAGCAAAGAAAAGAAAGGCGGAACACCAGTACTGTGGGAATCATTGGTGGAAAAGCAGTTTTGGTTTTATTATGACACATAGATGTTTCCTCTGTTAGAATGTAGCTTCATGAGGAGAGATATGTTTTTGCTGTTCTATTCACTATTGTATCCCTCATATCTAGAACCATAGTGTCCACTCTATGAATCTTTGAATGACTGAATCAATAGCCATTGCATAACACCTGCCCATCACGGGCTCCTACTCAGAAAGCTATTTCTAAGGAAAGCTTTTCACCAGGGAGAATTAGCAAGAAATAGCCTCACACAATTATTAAGAAAATTTTAAAAAGGATCAAAATGCACATAAACATTTGACATAGAACTTATGAATTATTTTATTATGCACTACTAGTAAACATTATCATGTCTTCATTGGGGCCAAGAATATGATATAATTGTGTGTTTGTTCCTTTAATATTTTGAGAAAATAAGAAAATATGATGAGGGGGTAGTGGGCAGTATTTTACTTTGGAAATAGATGGCCTGAGGTTTGAATCTGAATCTGGGCTTTATTACTTACTAGCTCTGCAACCTTGATAAGAGCTTGTTGTTTCCCTATCTTTAAAACACAATAACTTTTTTGCAAGGAGGTTGTATAATGAAATGTATTATATGAGACACAATGCTTTGCTCAGGAGGGTTTAAGAAATTATAGGTCTTGTTTTGGTGAAACTGAGGTTTCCTTCTGCTTTATTAAAACCTCATGTAGCCCAACATTCGAACTCCTTAAAACTACCTAAAAGGCCTTATATAATCTGGCCCTGACGGTCTCTCTGTCCTGGCTTACTACCTCTCCCTTCTTACGGGAAAAGGGGAGTGCTTGCCTCCTGTCTCTTCTTTCCATGGACCAACCTGTCCCTGCCTCAGGGCCATTGCATTTGCTGCTCTCACTGCATAATATGTTCTTTGAAAAACTGGCTTCTATTCAGCTAAAATGTCATCTATTTATCAAGGCCTTTCTCTCTTTTTTTAATTTTTTTTTTTTTTTGAGACAGGGTCTCACTCTGTTGCCCAAGCTAGGGTGCAGTGGCTTGATCACGGTTCACTGCAGCCTCAAACTCCTGGACTCAGGTGATCATCCCACCTAAGCGTCCCTAGTAGCTGGGACTACGAACACATGTCACCATGCCTGGTTAATTTTTGTAGATTAATTTTTGTAGAGACAGTGTTTTGCCACATTGCCCAGGGTGGTCTTGAACTCCTGGGTTCAACCTTGGCCTCCCAAAGTGCTGGGATTACAGGTGTGAGCCACTGCACCTGGCCAGCAAGTTCTTTCTTGACCTTCCAAATGAAATCTCCATCGCCATCACTTTCTATTAAATCATCCTGTTTTATTTTCTTTATACAACATAGAGCTCTCTGAAATAATCTCATTTATTTATTTGTTCACTTGGATATTGCCTATCCCTTTCCACTAAGATGAGCATTCCTAGAAAGCAAAAACTGTATCTGCTGAAGCCCTAGTGCCTAGAACAGTGCCGGATGTATAAAAGGTTCAGGAAATATTTACAGAATAGACACATTTTTATTAATCATTATCTTCTCTTCTACCTATTTGAACAAAAATAACTAAATGAGTCTGTTTTTCATTGTGGTTTGAAATCCTGACAATATCTAACTGATTAAACTGAGAGTTAAGTAGATAGAGATGTTAAGAAAGAGGAAAGGTCTTGAAGAAGAAAATTCCCAAATTTCTTTTCCCCAAAGTAGTACAACTGATTTTCAATGTTTACTTCAGGGTCCCTTTTCAGCATTCGTTTTTTTCCTCTATCATCAATCATTGTCAATTTGAAATAGTACAATACTTAGGGTCATTTATCTAGACCTATTGGAGTCTAAAATTATGCAGCTCAGTCAAATATATGTGAATAAAGACTGTCATTTCTGATTAATGACATGTGACTTGAATGTCTTACAAAATCATTTGTGCCATCCAAGCTTTACAGAAAGGTTATTATGTAAGGTCTTCCCCTAATGTTTCTGCTTTTCCCTCTAAGAACCCTAGAGGATCCAATTTCTCCATAGGAGAAAACATGGATGCTTAATGATTTCAGTCGTAATTGTTACTCAGGTCCTTGGATTGCTAGACCAAGAGTGTTTTTCAAGTTGAAAATTCTCTTCCACTGGATGGTTAGGCAAGCCTATGATGTTGCTGTTTTGCAATTTTTGTTGCCAACATAGCCTTCCCTATTATTGAAAAAATAATCCATGTAAGACACTAATCTTATTCAGTTGATGCAGAAAAAAGAAGAGTGAAAAACATGCCAACTCTTTGTCAATTACACTTTCCATGAATCATCAACTCTCTTCTTGAAGCATAAAATTCCACTTCAGCATAGTCCCAAAAACATGAGAAAAAAAAAAAAGATTTAGAAAGAAACTTTGGATAAGAAAAGGTCAGGACTGAAAGAATGAAAAAAGAGATTTTTTTTTTTTTATAAAGTAACACCATGTCTACTTCTCCTAGGTGATATTACCCAGTCTCTTAGATCATTTCCTCACAATCTCTTTGTGGCTTCTTTTTTTATCACTGGGAACATAAGAGGAGACCATTGGCACCCATCAGTCGCATGCCTCTAAGGTATGACTAGAGCAAGTGGCTGGGAGTATGTGTTGAGAGATGGGAATGCTTCTTCTCTACTCTTGATGTTTCCTTCAAGGCAGAGGGAACTCCTTAGGTATGGCACTTATGGTCTTACCCTCTCTATCCTTTGCTTGGGGAGGTGGAATGACATTTGATTGTAATTGTTAATGGAACAACCGGGTATAGTTGGCTCCGTTCTGACTTTATTTATCTTGGAAGTGAGCTGTCCACAGGGAGCATAATTTCTCTGCTTCTCCTTCTACCCTAGAAGAAGTGGGGAGGTGAAGCGTCCCTGGTTCAGTGCTGCCAACACTAGGAAATTAAGTCTTCCTAATTTGGGGATTCAGTATTAGTAAGCTCACATGACCATCATTCCTGATGGGTCATCTTCCATGCTGGTCTGTATTAATTTATGAGTGATATTTTGGCTTTCATTTATTTTCTTTGTTTTTTCAAAGTATGTAGAAGTCAGTTGGGTTTGAGGGATTCTGGTTTGAGAGACCTCCCTCAGAGACCCAAATAATAGATATGTCCTCTTGGGTCATAGGAGACAAATGACAGAAACTCACAACATGATATTTTCAAAGTTCAATAGCATCTTGACCCCTTCCCAAGAACTCTATGCATAATAAGCATCTCCAGTTCAGTTTTTTGAGAAATGTCACATAATAAATTAGGAAGTACCTACTGTGTTTTAAGCTTTGTTTCAGGTTTTGAGGTGAATAAAAAAAAAAAAATAAAACATGGCCCCTAATTGGAATATTGTACTTAGGGTTGAAACTCATTTAAAAAATCAAATAGGCAATAAACAGATGAAATTGTTCAGAAAAAGAGAAAGAAGTAAAGATGGGTGGCTAGGGAAGACTTCTTAGAGAAGATGTCATTTGAATTGCTCCTTTAAAGATAAATAGATTTAGAATGAGGAAGGATGAATAGAATTAGAATGAGGGAGAAGGAGCCATTTTAACCATAGCTCTCTTGTTTGCAAGAGATAGAATTATATTCAAACTAGCTTAAGTGAAAAAGGGAAGGCCTTTGTTCACATCTGAAAAGTCCAGAGGTGAATGTGTTTCGAGCATGGCTGGCTCCATGGAATCCAGTGTTGTTCTGAGAGTTTAGTCTCATCTTCTCCACCTATTGGTTTGTATCTTCTTTAACTTATGTTGGCTTCGTTCCCAGGCAGGCTGTCTCTTTGGTGGCAAGATGGCTGCCAGGATTTCCAGATTTAAATCCCATTAGCAACCCAAACAAAAAGCAAATCAGTTCTAAAAGTCCTGGAATTCAGGCTAACAGACTTCAATCGACCCAATTGTCCATCCTTGAAGTATTCATTGTTACTGTCTGATCATGATTCTCTGTTGACTGGAGATTTGAGTCATATGGATTGAAAGTAGGGGAAGTGTATTTCTCCATGGAAATGTGGGGTGCAATCAGCAAGACACTAGGGGAGTAAATGTTGGACAGACAAATGCAAGACATGTTTACTGTAGGAGGTAAACCCATAAAGGTAGAGGGGAAATTCTGCTTACCTAAGAGATGCTCTACAAATATAAGAAAATATCAGGAGTTGGATATGGAATGGGAATTGAAGTAAAACCTGATTAGGACATCATTGGGGAAGAAAATGTGTACTTATGAAACAAGGGAAAATAGTGACTGATTAGAATGTAAAATTATCTTGGAAATGGTGAGTAAATAAAGACAGAGAAGGAGAATGGACTAAAACACAGAGGGACTAGGAGTTAAACTAGAAGCTCATTAGATTTTATGCACTATGTAAAATCAATTAGCCACTGAGAAATGTTAAATATCTTCTTTAAACGTTGCACCACATTATTTGTTATGTCAATATGCTAAAAAGACCTCCCTATCTGTTTTCCTTTTTTTTGGAGGGAAAGGTACTTGATTCACCTCCTAAGGAATTTGAGGTAAGCCAATCAGGTAAAGTTCTTTTCCCTGACCCATGACTGGGTCAGAAGTGGTGAGCATGTCACCCAACTCCATCTCATGAGAGGTAAGGGGAAGTCTGTTGGGGAATTTCTGCAGAACATTTTCTCTTTTCTAAGACAGGTCTAAGTAAAAATATTATTTTTTCTTTTCCCATGGGAAACTGGCCTTGATACCTAGAACTGTTGAACCCTTTTACTACCAGTCTGAGGATGAAGCTCACACTAGGAAGATGTAGGAACCCAGGTCCTATTGTCACTGTCAAGCCGGTCATTGTAGAATAATCTACTCCACTTTGGGTTTTCTGTTATGTGAGATAATACATATCTTTATTGTTTCAGCCAATTTGAGTTGGGTTTTCTGTTATTTGCAGCCAAAAGCAACCCAAAAGATGTACTTTTTGTACTGAAATTGTGGTCATAGAGACCCTTATTAAAAGTGATTTATTTACTTTTCTATTATCTATACAATAAAACTCTAATTAAAATATAAAAGAAAATGTTATACTCTCATGCTGAAGTAAGGCACAGAATTGTGTGTGTATATATATATGTGTGTGTGTGTGTGTGTGTGTGTGCGTGTGACAATTAAATGGAGAAAAAAGGACTGGAAGAAAACTGGCCAAAATCTTAATAGTACTACTGTCTCTTTATGGAATATAACAATGGATGATGTGATATTTTTCTTCTTTCTATTTTTTCCAAATATTATATTGAAAAATCTCATTGCTTTTATAAAAATGAAAAAAATCTAAGTTTTTTTTTCAAGATCAACCCGAATTCAATTACCCTGAATTTTGAGGAATGGGCTATTTTTGACATTTTAATCATCTGGGTAATTCAGAACCCTTTTGATTTCAAATTTTGTGATGACACATTGTTCTGAAATGTATGAGTCACTTTTCTATCTTAGTAAATTGTGTAGTAACCATAATGAAATTTTTCTTCACTGATGGCAAATATCTCAGGCTTCAGGTCCTCTTTCTGAGGGTCGAGGCCTGGAGATAGAGATGGAGCCGGTGCTGGAAATTAGGCATAATGTGTAATGACTGAACACTGCCAAAGAAATTGCCTTCCCTCTCTGTCTTGTAAGTGAGTTCCTGATAGCCATATATTATTTGAATGACTTGCCAAATATGTATTTTTAAATTGTTTCATACTTCTTTGAGAAAAAGTTAATTAAAAGGAAAAATATACATCACTATCATATAGTGAAAAACAGTGTCATTTGACATAAATAAAAAGCAACCCATAAACACAACCCAAATAACATTTAATAATATTAATCATATTATGTCTTGATGCTGTTGAATACTAGAGGTTCTGAGCCTGGGCCCTGCTCTGTCTTTATTTTAAAAGGAAGATTAACAAAGGTTAGAGAGAAAATAGAGTCTCTGTTCATAACAAACAAAGTTTTTTTGAACAGTGACAAGGATAGAAAAAGATTCACTTTTTCACCAAGAGATTCAATATTATTTAAAATTACATTCCACTGCCATTTTAAATCACACCTTCCAGATCATGCGAAGTTACTTGTCTACCACTTAACATTTGTGTGTCACCAGTGGTACCTGCTGCATTCCATTTTTTAGGAGACAGGAAATTACATCAGTGATTATTGACTCTGGCTACACATCAAAAGCACTTGGAGGGGACACACACACACAAACACACACACACACAGTTCTCAAATATTAACATGCATCAGAAGGGCTTGTTGAAACAAAGGGTTTCTGACCCAGTAGGTTTGGCACAGGACCTCAACATTTACATTCCTAACAAGACCCCAGGTAACACTGACAATCCTGCCTAAAACCACACTTTGAAAACCACTGCACTAAGCGGTAGAGGGGCCCATGCATTACTAACTTCCAAATCATGTTGCTTTCTCCATTTTGTTGGGGCCAGCACATGTTGGTCTATACAATAAGCAGAAGACTAGAGCAGAGTTGAAATCCAGATGAATTAAGATGCACATATTTCTTAACCTTTACTCCAGCTAGGAGTACATCAGTTCCTACAAGTTGAACTGCATTATAAAGTAAATAGATCTGCTCTGAGAAAAGGTCAGTACACATGTTCTGCTGCAATCTAATTTAAGTCTATTGCACTCTGCCCTATTACTCACTCTGGTGCAAGAGGTACAATGGTGAAAAGCTGGAATTTAATTGTCTCTTCTATACTAAAAACTTCTTGGTCCACAGAATATGCATGAGAGCTAAAGAGATGAGCTCAAGAAGGCAGGCTTTTCTAGACATAGTATTGCACCCATCTCTTCTTCTTGAACACTGCTTCTTGAGTTCCCCATCAGTGTTGAGGAGAAGGCTCCTTTTAAATCTTAAAGTGGCCCTCGAATCTGTTTTCCTTCCTCTTCACTCACTCTGTGTCATTACCAAGAACCTGATACCAGGAAGTATTTCAGAGAGCAGTCCTGAACACATTTCTCTGACTGTAGTGTGCTAGTTATTTGCCAGCCCTCTGCCTATTATGGAATTGTGTTTAGTTTCTATGACTTAATAATTACTTTAATTTCACTTTGTACTGTTTTGAAGAACTCTTTTTGAATGAGGGGCACTTAGCACACTCCTACTGCTTGCCTGGAACAGACACAGCTAATCAGAATGTGTAGAATTACATAAAAGAATAATTATGAGAGTCTGCGATGTGTTATAACAGATGTACCAAACAAGGCTGGATCAACTCATTGCTCGGAAGAGAAAGAACTTATTAAGGCAGTTGCAGTCACGAATCTTACAAGCACAAGTGGAAGCTTCTAACAGGGCAGAAGAGGGAAAAAAACTGAAGTCTTTGAAGCATGGAATTAAAAAAAATTCCAATTATTTTATTTTTTCTGTGTGCTGGTTCGTGTTCAGGTGCATCTTCTTAGAGTCCATGGTGCTCAATACTGTTTCCAATTGCCTGTACATGGGAAATGGGTTCCTTTCTTGGTTCAAATGACCATGAAGCAAAGGTCACTAGGGTAGAATAGAGGTCACACAGAGGTATAAAGATATCCCCAACCCTAAGGGTCTGAGGTAAGTCTCTTGTCTGCCAAGCTACTCATCCCTCCCTTTCTTTTAAGGTAATCCATGGTTTACTAGGTGGAAAATCAAAGGTAAGAAAAATGAGAATCTGCTACTGAGGGTAGCCTGCACTTACAACGTGCTATTTCCCAGCTGCTGTTTGGTCCCATCTAGTTCTCAGTTATGCCAAGATTTCAGGGAGTGTTTCCTAAACACTGCATGGTTAAAAAGCTATATACTGTATTTAGAGCTCATTAGCTAAATTAACTTTATTTCCAGTAAATATTAACACCAGTTTATAGTATTTAGCTTTGGCTATGAATATAAACTCTTGCTAGGCATGGTGAAAAAGGGGCAGGGAAGATAGAGAACAAGGTTTCTGAACTGCTGAGGCTTATGATTAATAAGACGAGCCCAAGCACTTCCAAATTTGAGAACAGTCCAGGACGTCATTAACTAACTGCTAAGTAACAATGTCTAATTGTTCACAAATGACCTAAGGACTAGGGTTTACAATGCATTTAGGAGGGTCCAATTCTTGACCTGATCTTTGAGAAATCCTGAATTCAAGCAATTAGCTGTCATCGAACAGGTTTGATTTGGCAAGAAGGGCCTTTGAAGGGTGACTTTGTCAGATGCCATCTTGCCATTCAACCCTTTCTCCATTTTTCCTCTGTATAGTTAGTGTGGGATTTTATCACAAATCATATAAGGTCACCATTTCATTTATTTTGTCTCAAGCTCTTTTACCTCTCTGTGGTATCTATGGATCAATCTGTCTACCTAAATTTTTATTTTTTAAAATAAAATTTTAAACTGTATTTAGATTTTTAATCTTTTTCTCAAATTAGTCTTGTGTCCACAACTAGACATCAAGATTTTGAAGATAAGTAACATTTCTTATTTATCTGTGTATCTTAACAGAGTATCTAGGACAGTGGTTTTTGTTTTTTCCATAGAAGCAATAAAACTGTCAATTGAATATAATGACCTGGGCTGTCCAGGTTGTAAGTAGCACAAATCCCAGGTGTGGACAATGAGTGAATGATTTTTAAATTTATTCCTTCTTTTCTTCTTTTTAATATTGAATTGGTAAAGAATGAGGCAGAGGGTGTGTGATTGGTGTTATGGTTGTGGGCTGAGTTCAGGTACGACAGGATACACCAGAAGGAACACAGTCTTCTACCAGAAGAGCTGGGCTCAGAACCCCGCATGCCTGCCACTGAATTGAGTTCTGGAAACGCTTAATCATTTAGGTTGCCAATGCTGCCATCCATAAACTGGGCCTGACAGTAGTACTGACCTTTGTTCCATATGTGGGATCAAATGAAATAATATGTGAAAAACATAAAGAGAAGTTCTGGTCCTGTCTAAATAAATAGGAATTGTTGTTTATGATAATAAAATGGAGAGAATAGAACACACATTTAAGCCAGCATAAACCAGTTTGATCAAGTCCAGACAGTTTGGCAGTTTCAATAAATCTCATGGCTTTATACACTTTCTACTGTTTACTTGAAAAAATCATAACATTTTCCAAAAAAGCAAATACAGGCTCCTTTAATTTGGGCCAAATTTGGAAATGAGAAGGACAGATGGTTACCAAATGGGCTGAGGGATTACTGAGAGGCAGCTGGATGCCTTGTCCTTTCATCTGGCTGGGTTATCTTGGCTGGAGGAAAACAGGGCTGTCCTGTACTTACCTGATACCTGCCTGTGCCTGTCAAATGCCACAGGCATGAGGAGATCCAGGATCTGCCCTGAGACCTCCTCCCTGCTCCAAACCAAGCCCTAAAGAAAGCTTGGAAAAGGTTAAACATAGCTGTCGGTGCTTACAGAACCATCTGCTGATTTTTGCTTCTCTGCCATCCCTTCCCAGTAAGGGCACTCTTATTTTTCTTGAGGAACCACCCTTTTCTCAGTTTTAGTCCATATGTATCCATACGTATCATGATTAACTTAAGAAGGCAAGACAAGCCCAAGCACTTCCAAATTTGAAAACAGTTCCAGTACATCAATAGTTTACTGCTAAATAATAATGTCTAATTGTTCACGAATGGCCTAAGGAGTAGGGTTTATGATGCTGTTAGGAGGATCTGAGTCTTGACTTGGTCTGAGAGAAAACCCTGAACTCCAGGCAACTAGCTGTCATCAAACAGGCTTGATTTAGCAAGAAGGGCCTTTGATGGGTGCCTTCTTCAGATGCCATCTTTCCATTGAATCTTTTCTCCATTTTTCCTCTGTACAATTTGTGTGGAATTTTATTGTCAATTGTATAGGGTCATCTTTTCATTTATTTTGTGGAGGAACTAACTGTACCACAGCCCAGAATAGGTCAGGTGACCTGCACCTGGCCAATCAGGATATCGTGTTGTCCTGGACTAGCAATTGCTTCTTATGAGCACCTGACCCATGCGAGTGAGGTCATCCAGGCCCAAAGGGACTGGATTCTAGAACTTGTGTTTGAACTGTTAGAAAAGAGAAGCCCTCTTTCTCTTGATGCTGGAAGCATGCCATATTGGAACTCCTGGTGCCATCTTACTTACACATGGGAGAATGTGCCCGAGAATGGAGCCAATGGTGAGGAAGGCAAAGCTGAGAGATAAGGACAGCTAACTAGCCTTATCACTTGAGTGGCTGGATATGGTGACTCATTGGCAATTTCCTCCTTAGAGTTCATGGTAAGAGCACAGTTAGCACAGGCTTCTCAGAGGCAAGTGGGGCAAAAGGAAAATAAATCATTATCAAGAATAGAATAAGGTCTTTTCTCTGCCTTGGATTTATTATGAAAATTTTGCACATACAGATTTTAAAATTTTATTTGTATAATCTTATGCTGTGCAAGTACATGCACTTGTATGTTCATTGCAGCACTATTTACAGGAGCAAAGATTGGAATTAACCTGAATGTCCACCAATGGATGACTGGATAAAGAAAACATGGTGTATATACACAAAGAAATATTATTCAGCCACAAAAAAGAATAAAATCATGTCTTTTGCAGCAACATGGATCGAATTGGAGGTCATTATTTTAAGTGAAACAACTCAGAAACAGAAAGAAAAAGATATTATATGCTAGAATGTGCTTTATCCTTCTTTAAGCCAAATTTCCTCTCAGAAGACCCTCCCCGACATTGTCCCTCTTTCTTACCTGGAGCCACATAGTTATGTAGTGTTTTCTCTTTGCTCGCTACATTTGGACTCCCTGGTGGATTGACTTATCCTTAAAAGCAAAGTCTATTTGAGACTTATTTTCTCTCACCTGGCAGGCAGAGCTGCTTAGAGCATACAGGCTTGAAATCCCTTATCTCTGTTGGGAGTCTTGGGAAAGTGGGGAGGCCTGTTCAATGCTCTCTACAGAAGACAGTGCCTTCTCCACGGTGTCTGTGGGTAGCTAGAGTGTACAGGTTGCTTGGCCTTAGGTCATAAGTCTTACAGTCATAACAGTCATAATAAGGGAACTCTAACTGAGCTTTTTAGGGCATGCCCAGGTTTGGGGCAGAAAATTTGTTTAATCAAGAGCAAGTGAACTCATTTCTTCCTGCCTTTGCCATCTTCTCAAGATTTCCATCACCACCTCTGTTTCATGAAATGTAACCATGTCAGGCTGTCTGTTCCACAGTACGCATGGAGCAGTGGCTCAGAAAGGACTAGGGACCCTCAACAACCTTACTATCCATGCCCTGGATTAGGACTTTCACTCCATGTCTCATGGAGCCATGCCTCTTTTGGTTTTTCCTATTCCTTCTTCCACAGGGCTGTCAATCAGATCATTCAGGCTGATGAGGGACCAGAGACTCTGCTGTCACACCATTACCAAAGACTTCTTTCTCTCCTTCCCATCAACCCTTCACCAGAATACCTTCCTCTTCCTATAGCTAAAAAGCAAGAGAGCCATTCAATGTCAACGGTTCTCCACAAGAAGCACCCAAGTCCCAGGTCCACCTCAGCCAAGGCATTCTAGGATGCTAATGGTCATTGTTAAACAGCCTTTGATTATTACTTTACGAAGTGCTTTCACATACATAGCCTTGTTGGTGCTTCGGAACACTGTGTTGAGCCAGGACACTCAGTCTCAGAATGCCCCCCGCCGTGCCCCCTTCCCCACAGAGTTTTTAAGGGACTGGGACAAGTTTGGAAAACCTGTCACCTAACATTTTTTCTTTTTAAAATTATTTCTTTCCACAACATAAACTGCTGGGCCAACGGATGGAAATCAAGCCCATCCTTCCTCAACCCTTTGCATAGCATTCTTCTTTAGCTTCTCTGGGTGTTAGTATAGCCCCCTTCTACCCTGATCCGTCTATGGAGGCCCAATTGGGCTGGAAATTTAACTCCATTTTTTCTAGACACATACGTAACAGGACCCCTAGCATCTGTCTCAGTACTGACCCACCCTGAGGGTCCCATGGGGCTCAAAGAGGGTTATGATTAGATGATCCTCTAGACCCTTGGAGTAGAATTACCCCCTCTGTAGATCAGTTGTGATTATTATGAATGATAAAGAGGTTCAGTGCTTTGTTATTCTTACCTTTAAAAATTTTGAAGCAAATGTTTCTCTCTGTACCATACTGATCATTTTAATTTCCTTGCTTTTGCTATAATAAAAATTGACGTTAAAGAATGCCTGAGGCAGTGTAATGAGAAAACGAAATTAGTTTTTCAGTTGACTGATCAAAAGCATTTTATATGTGATAATAAACAGTTTATTTTACTCTTTTGCTTATGACATAATTAATGACAAAAATATTTTCCTGAAATTCATACTGTCTGCCAAACTCTCCTTCCAAGTTCCAGGAAAATAATATTTTTATACTTCCTCAGACTGGGCAAAAAAATAATAAACTTTACCATCCCCTGCAAAAGAGAGCTTGTAATCTTTGTTTAACCCTTTACAATGCGTGGCCAGTATTAGACCAATCAGGTCAGGGGAATTATGTCAATTACATTTTGTTCCTAGGGGACAGCAATATTTCTGTATTGAAATTGAATCCAGCCTTCCCAGTGGTCTTATTATTGGAACTCTTTTCCTAAAAGCCTGACAAGCTCAAGTTTGTTGTCAAGATTAAAGGACACAGGTTAAAAAATGTAGGCTTGTTATAACCCAGAAAACTGAATTTGAACTTCTTTAATTTTTTTTTGAGACAAAGTCTCATTATGTTGCCCAGGTTGGAGTACAGTGGCAAGATCATGGCTCACTGCAGCCTAGATCTCCTGGGCTCAAGTGATCTTCCTGCCTTGGCCTCCCGAGTAGCCAGGACTTCACGTGTGAGCCACTAAACATGGCTAATTATTTTATTTTATTTTTGTAGAGATGGGATCTTGCTTTGTTGCCCAGGCTAGTATCAAATTCCTGAGCTCAAGCAATCCTCCTGGTTTGGCCTTCCAAAGTGCTGGGATTAAAGGCATGAGTCCACCATGCCTGGCTTTAATATTTGACTTTGAAAAACGTGTTGCTTTTTCTCCATCAATAAGAGGATGTTAGGTTTGAATGAATGTTACATTGGGATTTGAAGACCTGGCTACTAATTCCAAATATCTTCCTTCCCATGTGTGAGTTTGATATTACTGTTTACTTTAGCTGTGTGTCAGTTTCCTCATGTGTGCAACTTCCTAAGTTACCTTAGTCTCAATTATGAGGGCTTGCTCTCTATCAGGTGCACCAGGATATATATGCAAAGACATTCCTTAAAGCATTGCTTCTAAAACCAGAAAACTTGAGCCAACCTGCATTAGTTAGCTTTTTCTGGTAATAACTAGCCACACAATGTAGCCCAAAACAATAACCATTTTATTAACTTTCTTTCCTTCCTTCCTTGCCTTTCTTTCTTTACTTCCTCCTTTTATTTTCTATTATTTTCTTTCTTTCTTTTTCTCTTTCTTTCTTTCTCTTTCTTTCTTTCTTTCTTTCTTTCTTTCTTTCTTTCTTTCTTTCTTTCTTTCTTCTTTCTTTCTTATCTTTCTTTCTTTCTCTTTCTTTCTTTCTTTTCTTACAAAAACATCAGGTTGGTGAAAACTCTTTGGCAGACATCTACCACAAAACCTAAATAGCCATCAATACCAAGAATTGTTGATTCAATTATGGTTCATAGTTGGTCTTTACCTATAGGCTTTCCATGTGCTCTTTTCTGTGTTTAGAATGCTTTTTTCATCTGTTTAACTCATTTTTTTCCTTTGGGGCTCAGCTCAAGAAGTCTTCCCTGGTTATTTGACTGGTCAAATTCCATTTCCAAAGCTCTTACCGCCCTGTGTGCATCCCCTGTAATCCTTCCTACATTTACAATACTACATTAATTTGCATGGTTATCTAATGAAGGGCAAAGAATGTGTCTGTTTTCACTTATCACTACATCCTCAATCTAGCAGTATCTGGCATATAACATAATAGTGTTTAGTAAGTAATTGTGTTTAGATTATCTTTAATTTGTCTCAGTGGTATGTCGTTTTCACCAAAGAAGTCATATTTATCTTCCATTACATTTATTCCTGGTATTTTTAATGTCTTTAAAAAATTATTTTCTTTTTCTTGGTTGCTGGCATATTGTAATACAATTAAGTTTTATGTATTAACCTTGTGTCCTGAGACGTTATTCAGTTCACTAATTAATTTTAATATTTTGTAGATACTTTTGGATTTTCCTTATATGAAACTGTGTCATCCATGAATGATGGCTGTTTCATTTCTTTTTAATTCTTATGCCTTTATTTTCTTGCCTTATTATAGTGCTTAGAAACTTCCTTACAATGTTGGAGTGGTGATATCAGGCATCTTTATTTGCTTTTGATCTCAGAGGAAAGTGTTCAGTAACTCATCATTAAATATGAAGTTTATTAAGTATTTCTTTTTAAATTTAACTTTTATGGAAACTTTCAAATATACATAAAAGTAGAGAGAATAGTATCATAAACTCCATGTGTCTAACACTAGGCTGTAACAATTCTCAATATTTTGCTATTCTTGTTTATCAATACCCCCACATTTTTATGTCTTTGCTCACAGGATAATTAAATATATTTTGAATAAATAAATCACTTAATACAACCGAATTCTATGTAGTCACTAAATATAAAGTAGATCAATCTGTATGGACATAGAAAGACGCCTACCATATGGTAAGTGGATATACACACATACACTCACACACACATATATCCTATTTTTGTCTTAAAACTACATATGTATAGGAGCATACATCTATGTATATGTATATGTATATGTATATGTATATGTATATGTATATGTATATGTATATGTATAGAAGAAAGAAGGGTATTATTCATTAAGCTGTTAACAGAGTTACATCTGGGAAGTGAAAGAGAAGATAGACATCATTTTCTTTATACGCCTCTGTGTTATTAGAATTTCTCTCAATGACCATGCATTGCTTTTGTAATTTAAGAAACAATAAAGGAAAAATATATTACTAAACAGCTAGTTTCTTAGCATTAAGTAAAGAATGCAATGATCAGGAGCTAATAAGTTATGCAGAACTAATTTCATTTCTTTCTCTCTCTTTTAACAATATAATTATTAGACTGGTAATTCAAGAGAATGCAATAGACTAGTGTATCTTAACATCCCTTGACCTGGTTTCTTGACAAGGTGGGGAAGTGAAGGCTGATGAGTGTTCTGCTGTCATCAATATTTATTGAGAACCTGCTACATGGCAGGCATTCCTCCAGGATCTGGGGATATAGCAGACAAAGACCCTGTCCCCAAAGATCTTTCATTCTAGTTGGGGAGATTGGTAGTTTACACACAAATGGACAACCTCACCTGAATATGGTATCTCTCTGAAAATAATTAAAGTGGGTGATAGAGACCAGAGAATTGGCTCTGGGAAGGTCTTTCCGAGAAAAAAAAAAAAAGCTGAGATCTAAAAGCCAAGAAGAGCTAGCCTGGTCAAGAACAGGGAGAAAACCTACATAGATGGCCCATAAGGAGGGAATGAGCTGGGAGAGCTTGAGGAGCAGCCTGAAAATTAAGGAGGCTTCAGGGTAGAGGGAAAAGGAGGGAGTGGAAAGACACAAGGGCAGGGAAGGATGCAGGCCTCTGGTTAGGTTGGGCTGTGAAGCCAATGTAAAGATTTGCACTTCAATCTAATTGCAAATGGGAAGCCATGAAAGAGTTTTAAGCAAGGAAGCAGTGTAATCACATGGGTTTTTTGGTCTGTATTGTTTTGTTTAGTTATACTGGTAGCTGTGTTGATGTATAGGCAGGCCCAAATTAAGATGACTGACATAAGCATTAACTTTATTTCCAGTCCCCAAAATCAGAGTGGAGGATGGCTAATTAGGTAAGTCCTTTATATAAAAAAAGGCCCTAGAGTTTTGGCTGCCCATAGGTTTAATATGAACCAATAGCATGTTAAAAAAATTTAGACACATGACGAAGACCAGACCAAGGCATATTGGCCTCTAGACAAACTAATAGGGAGGACTTCTTTGAGAATATAATGTTTGAGTAGAGACCTCAAGGACACTAAAAGAGGCAGCCAAATGAGTATCTTGGAGAAGGGATTTCCAGATATTGGAAACAGGAAGTGTAAAGATCCTGAGGTAGATGCTTGCCTGACATGCTCAGGAAACAACAAGGAGGCCTGTGTGGCTAGAGTCATGTAAACAAGAGAACGAGAGCAGTAGATATGAGGTCAAAGAGCTCCCAGTGGAGCAAATCACGTGGAGAGCATTGAAGCGCTTTGGCCTTTACCCTGAGTGAAAGAAGGTGCTCTAAGAGGGTTATGAGCAAAATATTGATACAGTCTGACCTATGACACATGTGGCTCTTGAGTTGACATGCCAAAAGCCCAGGCATGTTGCAAATAATGATTTCTCATTCTAAAGACCTCTATATATTCTTATAACATGCCAGTTTCTTTCCTTCCTTAAGATTTTTATACTTTTTTTCTGGCTGAGTCACACTTGCCCAAGAACCCTCCAAATTATTGTCATCTCCTTGGTCTCTGCTCAGATTGCACTCTTTAAGGGGCCTTTCATGAAACATCCCTCTGGCACTCTTCATCACACCACCCTGTTTTGTTTTCTTTACAACATTTATCGCTATCTAGATTATCTTGTTCAATTCTTTATGCATTTTTGGATGTCTCTTGTGCAAGAGTTAAGCTCTGAGAGAGCAGGAACCTTGTCACTGTTGAATAGAGCTACATGTCTAGTGCCTAGACATTGCCAGGCACATAACAAATGACAGATGCTTAACAAATGTCTTTTTGCATTTAAAAAATAAATGCACACTTATTAACACCCACATCAATCATGATACAGTGGGGACAACTCCCCTTTCCTCTAGTTTTTCCTTCATCCCTTCCAACTCAGATTCTCTGAGCTTTCCAAATGATTGTCATCCAAAAAGCATTGATTTCTTAATTGTAAACAATTCAGTACTGAACAACATACAGGAAGAATCATGGAGACCTCTTGATATGGTTTGATTCTGTGTCCCTACCCAAATCTCACCTTGAATTGTAATAATTCCCACAGGTCAAAGGCAGGACAAAATGGAGGTAATTGAATCATGGGGACAGTTTCCCCCACGCTGTTCTCATGATAGTGAGTGAGTTCTCACGAGATCTGATGGTTTTATAAGCATCTGGCATTTCCCTTGCTTGCTGTCATTTCTCTCTTCTGTGGCCCTGTGAAGAGGTGCCTCCCACCATGACTTTAAGTTTCCTGAGGCCTCCCCAGCCATGCAGAACTGTGAGTCAATTAAACCTCTTTTCTTTACAAATTACCCAATCTCTGGTATTTCTTCATAGCAGCATGAGCATGGACTAATATACCTCTCCAACTATGTAATCTAAAATCTACTGTTAGGTTTTTGTTAGAGAACACATGTAAAATGGACTAGCACAGTGTACTTGGAATGTAACAGCTGCTCAAAATGTGTGTGTTGAATCTGAGTCTACTGTAGAAAAAAATGGATGGTGAGTAATTAGAGTCTATCAAGGTTAAATGTATTGAATGCTAAATTTTATTTCTTTCCATACATATTTATACAGTGATTATTATGTATAAGAAGCTTGACTAAAGGAAAAGAGCTAAAATGTATTGTGTGCTTAATATAAGCAGTATATATATAAATGTGTTGTATCTCACTTAATCTTAAAAACAATCATAGGAGGTGGGTAATCTTAAAAACAATCATAGGAGGTGGGATAGTACTGTTTTTCAATTGTGAAAAATTTATGGTTCAGAGAATCAGTAATTTGCTCAAGAAGACAAGTTTTTCCTGTTTGCCAGCATCAAAAGTTGGCTAATTCTACATATTTTAAATTTTTGAATTAAATAAGCATCATTCGGAAAATTCTATTGCTTTTAAACTTTTTATTTTTGAAATGTTTCCTAAGGAGTATGTGTTATTTTCTCATCTTAGCAAGTCCAGGGAAATACTATAACTTATGTCCTTGTCAGAAAACTGAGGGTATTACAGTGTTATTGCTCTAAATTCTATGCATAATTTTCTCTTCCTAGAGTTGAGTAACATACATTCAAATATATAGAAAGCTTTAAAACAAACAATGGGTAATAGATTTCACAGTAAAACCCTAGATAGTCCCATTAAAATCAACAATAAGTTAAAGATGTTGGCAATCACCAATATTATTCAATATTTGGGAATCTTGGCCAATGAAACAAGATATGAAAAAGAAATGAGGTATAAATATTGGAAAGAATATAATCATCCTTGGTATAATACATCCATATATACACATGCATAGTATATTATTACGTACATAAAACGTCTCACATATGAAGCAAATAAAAATCCATCAAGACCAATAATAGAGATCAATACAAATATCAGACTAGAATAAAAATAATTATGTGCTTTCCTAAATTTGGGAAATAATCAGTTAAAATAACAATAATTAACCACATTTACACAAATAATAAACACCAAGAAATAAAGATAATAACAAATATGCAACATCTGTTTAAGAAAACCATACAATTTCTTAGCATAGAAACTTTGTAGTTTAGAAAATATTTGAATAAATGGGATATCATACTTGACTCTTTAATGAGAAGAACTGATAGTGTTCAGTTTCTTCCACATTAATTCATATGTTGCATACAATTTCAATGAAAATTCCGATAAGAACTTTTTGGGGGTTATATTGTTTTGGAGCAAGACTCAAGATGATACTAAACATTATTGGGAAAGGTAAACATAGAAAAACAGCCATTTAAATTTTCAAGGAGACTCACTTAAGGGGAGGACATATTCTAAACTTACTTAAAGGTAGCGGAAGAGATAATCAGCAAGTATTGACCAAGCTTCTACTCTGTGATCAGCACGGAGCCAGTATGATACACTTGTGATGTTCCATTATGAATCCCTTATAGAGGCAGCGCTGTGAGGTGCTTCTTCCCCTTAGCTCCCTAGCGCAGTTTTAAAATCTCTTGCTTAGAAATGGCTTATTTATCTCCCTTTCTTTCTAACCTGTCTCCTTAGGGGTAGAAATTTTGTATTGTTCACGTTTTAGCCCCAGTGGCCACTCAAATATGGCACAACTTTTTAGAATCTAATTAATTGAGGCATTATTGCAACTTGGGAGGAAAAGCAAATTGAATATCCACTGGATTGCCTCGTTTTTTTCTTCTCTGATTAAGCCAGGAAGGTTTCCTGGAAGAGGTTAAATTCTAAGAGTTCTTTGATAGATCATTTGGACTTAGAGAAGGGAGGGTGTACAATTATATTATGCTTCTCTAGAGAAGTTCAACAGGGGTGGGGACTGGTGTTGTTTCTGGAGAAATGGTCTTACAATAATGAACACTAAAAAATGATTACCAGTTGAGGCTGATCTAGCTCCTTCATGTCATGTGTCCGGGGATGGTAAAAAATCATCATACACATGAGGGAGAAACAAGTAGCCCCAATTCTTGCTTGGAGAACTTGTGACCCTGGTACATGCCTTCTGGTGGTTTAATAGTGGACCAGGCTCTTTCTGCTCTTCCTTCCTCATGGGGACTTGACTTGGTGGAAGGTGCATTGGCAGCTAGTACACTTCATCCAACCCCTATTGCAGTCTTGGGTAGAAGTATAGTTGATTGGCCAGGCGCCGTGGCTCACGCCTGTAATCCCAGCACTTTGGGAGGCCGAGGCGGGTGGATCACAAAGTCAGGAGATCGAGACCATCCTGGCTAACACGGTGAAACCCTGTCTCTACTAAAAACACAAAAAATTAGCCGGGGGTGATGTGGGCTCCTGTAGTCCCAGCTACTCGGGAGGCTGAGGCAGGAGAATGGCGTGAACCCGGGAGGCGGAGCTTGTAGTGAGCCGAGATGGCGCCACTGCACTCCAACCTGGGAGATAGAGCGAGACTCCGTCTCAGAAAAAAAAAAAAGAAGTATAGATGATTTATTGTTGGAGAGGCACTTGTATTTTTCTCTCATTGTGTACTCCAGTGATATGGATTGAAAAAGAAACTTAGTATTTTTTATCGGAGTAAAATATACATAATATGTAATTTGCCATTTTAACCATTGTTAAATGTACAATTAAGTGCATTAAGTGCATTTACACTGCTGTACAACCATCACCACCATCCATCTCCAGAACGTTTTCATCTTCCCAAACGGAAACTCTGTACCCATTAAAAAATAACTCTCCATTCCATCTTCCCCCAAGCTGTTGGTAGTCTCCATTCTATTTTTTGTTTCTATGAATTTGATTACTCTAGGTACCTCATGTAAGTGGTATCATACAACATTTGTCTTTTTGAGACTGGCTCATTTCATTTGGCATGATGTCCTCAAGATCCATTCATACTGTAGATTATGTCAGAATGTGCTTGCTTTTTAAGGCTGAATAGTATTTTATTGTATGTATTTACCATGTTTTGTTTATCCATTCATCTGTCAATGGATACTTGGGTGTGACTCTTTCATTTTGCTTTATTTGCATAATTACGAATACTAGAAAAGGGCAGGTCCTCACATTGGACCTGGATGTCTCCTCACTGCTAAATGAGTGGTATTGACTTATCTTTGCATATCTCGGGATATTATTTGGTATAATGTACTGAAATAATAACTGCATATGAGCAAAAGTTGCAGTCAGGCAGATTTCAGCCAGAATTCTCTAGTGTTAGAATTCCTAATAAGGGAGACATCCAACATGAACGAGGCATATTACAGAGGGAGAGGACCACATTGTTCCACTCTCAAAGGCCCTGCCAGCTATGAGATTCTGGAGGTGGTGGAAGGTGGATAGAAAGATTCAGGAAACTTGGGTCAGAAACTTGCTGTGTGATATTAAGCAGATAACTTCCTCTCTCTGAACATCAGTGTCCCTGTCTGTGGAATGAGAGGAGTGATCCAGGCAAATACAGTATTTGGTTTTCCTCCAGGTCTTACTGGAGATGAACCTGGGGTCACCTCAGGGTACAAGAAGGAAACTGACAAGTGTTCTAAGCCTCCTCACCCCCACTGGTATCTACCAGGGTAATTCTGCTTCAATCTGCTTTATATTATGAGGTCTTTCTCTATCAAGACTTTGTCTGGGAAAAATAAGTTTCTATGTTTTTTTAAAAAAATCTAAACTAAATGAAACCAAATTCCCTGACCTGATTACCTACTGACCTAGGTAACAGTAATTAACAGATATTGAGGGCTGGCCACTCTTCTTTTTGTTTAACATATGCTATTACCTACCATTATTATGCCCATTTCAAAGATGAGGAAACTGAGTCTTAGAGAAGTTAACTCGCTCGCCCAGAGACATAGCTTTTATATGTGCAGCAAGTTGTTTGATTCCAGAGGCTAATTCTGATGCCGTAATTACCTCCAAAGGGAAGGTAGGGGCATAGATGATTTCTAAGACTCTTTGGATTGGAAAGTTTGTAGTCTGTGTTTAGTATTCCCATTCAGATATTTATGTTACATAACATATTTATGTTACATTTGTACAATTTAAGTTTCATTAGTTCATTCAATGAGTGATGTTTGAGCACTGTGGGGAACAGAAAGGGTCCCTGCTCTCATGGAGCATCCAAATGCTAAGTCAGCCATGAACACTGCCAAGGAAGCTTGAGTGGCCATAAACTGAGCCAGTGGGTGTTTGTTTCATGGACTCTGCCTTTGGTTCAGCCTGCTGTCACCTCACAGTTCCTGAAAGCACAATTAATTTTTACTCACTTCCTGACTATGGTAAGCGTCATCTGTCATTGAGACCACCACACATTTTGATGGGCTGCAGAAGTTCTGTTGTGGTTCTAGGGAGGTCAAATGTGTCTGTTAGGTTACAGATTCTGCTTGGGGGCAAAGATAAAGTGATTTGAAACTCCCAGGGAAACAAGTAAAATGATTGGGAACTGGTGGTCAAGGAAGGGAAATTGGAATTCAAAATCCTTTGGAAATGTCAACAGATCTATTAAAGTTTTCGCAGCCCAGGGTTCTTTCAGACTCACCTGGAAGGAGATAATCAATTCTAGAAACATCAGTGATCACCAGGTACTCAACACAGATAAATATAGGTTAATGAGGTGCACTTAGTTAGATGATTTTATAAGCACTGCTATGCAGATTTATTGATGGGAGAAAAGTACACCGTTAAGCTCAGGTTGGAAAGAATATTCTCCCAGCATGTGTGCACAAGCTTTATTCAGTAGTTTGGAAAAAAATCTGATGAAATGTAAAATTACTCTATTTAATCTGAATTTCTCATGCAATGTGTGTTAATATTTGTCTTCTTTTTTTCCTTTCTTAAGTGGCTCAATCGTTAAGTTTTCAATCACATAACCACTGAATATGCAAGATATAAACCACAGGCAATTAAATGATAGCTAAGGTAGTAAGGCTGACTTGATTAAGCTGCTGTGTTATTAAGATTATAAACACAGCCTGGCCCAGCCACTGAGTAAAATATGCCTGGCTGAGGGTACCCTGTGTCCAGGAGACAGCTAGTGTCCTGGGTGCTGGCAGATGGCCGTGTTCATGTGATGGCGTTTGAGAGGCATCCTCCAAATTTCTCCCTACCATCCTGCTTTGTATTCATTTGGCTTCTAAACATTCTATTTCTTGAAGGAATTGATTAAAATATAAATTTACTATGGGAGAAAGAGGACGAATCACAGGAACACTGAATGGAGTTTTCCACTTCTCATCTGGCTTGTTGATAGCTCCCTTTCCATGTCCTTTCAGGACCACTTTTCTTTCTGTGTAATGTTGGGGATCCCCAATTTGCATTTGTAATTCTTCCCTTCTTGCTCAGAAGTGAGAAACTGACACTTAAGATCCATTCATAAATTACAACCAATGCCACGTAGTCTAACAGAATACATTAATAATGGCAACTGGTTATAAGGGGGTTGGGAAAGTATCAAAGACAAACAGGGAAAGTTGAGGCAATCCAGACAGTAGCAACAACAGAAAACGCCATCACACCTAGGGCTAGAAGAATAATGGGAGCAGGTGGCAGTACCAAAGCCCCAGTGCCAGGATTGTCCATGGAGGCTGAAGCCATGGCAGAGGCTGCCCAGCTGGGAACTAGGGCCATGGAGAGAGATGCAACCCACATTGGAGATATCACTGAAAGTAGAGTTAGAGGCAGGGAATACCCTGACTTCTCTCTGCCTTGACCTCCTGTATCCTCCAGGGTCTCCCACTGGGTGAAGCCAGGCAGAAGTAGTTGGTCACACCTAGAAATGTACTGTTACTAGCAGGCAAATGGACCCAAGAGCCACCAATTGGCAAGAGCCATCAATTGGCAAGAACCAATGCTTGTGTTCTGAAAAAACAAAACTCTACGGGGTGGGGAGCATTTGAAAATACTGATTTTGTAATTATTTCTGGAAAATAGATCTTTAATAAATAACTCAACAAGCAGTGGATAATCTACACTGAGTCTTTCCAGAACTTCTCAAGTCTAATAAGAATTTTCAATTCAGCATAAAGCCTCAACTTCCTAACTCTGTTCAGGAGCCCTCCTAATGATTTTTTGTTTTAGTAAAATAACTGCTTTTATTTAGATGGGTCATTATTTCTCCCCAAATACCTTCATAGCCACATTTCACTGGATACAGTGATCCTTCTGGGAAGGTAGGTAAGAATTAAATTATTGATCTTATTCCATAGATGAACAAATAGAATCTTAGAGTGAAGATGTTCAGAGGTTGCCTAATAGGCCAGTGGCAGAAAAAATGAAATTCAGACCTTCTAGATGGAGGTAATGACAATAGAGTCAACAGGGAGAGTGGGAGGGTGGAGGAGAGAACTGGAGTGTATGTGAATGTGTATGCATTTCCATCATTTGGCTGAATTTTTTACAAGGATGGTAGAAAAAGGAATGAAAAATATGTAGGTAAAGAAGACTGCTTATTTAAATACTTCTTGTGTGTCTTTTAAAAGAGGTCCCATTTTGATCTCCTCACAATCTTGTTATGGAATTTTGGACATTTTGGCCCTGGACATTATTGTAATATCAGGACTAGAGTGAGAACCATTACAGATCACTGGGATATGCTGAACTTTAGGACTGACCCGCTTGTTTTCTGAAGGTGGAGACAGTGATTGTTGCAGATTGTATTATACTATCAGGATTGACTGATACCTGTGGTGGGAGTCATTCATTTTTTAAAAAATTATTATTTTTTAAAATTTTGTTTAAAATTGACCCATAATAGATGTACATGTTTATGGGATACAGTGTGATGTTTCAATACAGGTCTACATTGTATAATGACCGAATCAAGGTAGTTGACATATCCATCACCTTCAACAATCACCTTCAACATTTATTATTTATTTGTAGCGCTAACATCTCCAATCATCTTTTCTAAGCAAACTTGAAATACGCAATACATTGTTATTAGCTATAGTCACACTACTACGTTGTAGAGCACCAGAACTTATTGCTCCCACCTAACTGACCAACCTCTTCCCATCTTCCCTCCGCCCTCCCCTCCTGATCCTCTGGTAACTGCTATTCTACTCTCTACTTCTATGAGATCAATTTTTTGTATTCCACATAAAAGTAAGATCATGCGGTATTTGTCTTTCTGCACCTAGTTTATTTCACTTATCACAATGTCTTCCAGATTCATCCATGCCACCGCAAATGACAGGATTTTAGTCTCTTTTTATAGCTAATAGCAATCCATTGTTATATATACTACATTTTCTTTATCCATTCATCTGTTGATAGACATTTAGACTGATTCCATCTCTTGGCTCTTGTGACTAGTGTTCAGTAAACATGGGAGTGCAGATAGATCTCCAACATACCGATTTCATGTCCTTTGTATATATACCCAGTTGTGGGATTGCTGGACCATACAGTAGTTTTATTTTTAATTTTTTGAGGAACTTCCATAGTGTTTTCCATAATGGCTGTACCAATTTACATTCTCACCAACAGAGTATAAGGCTTCCCTTTTCTCTATATCCGCATTGGCATTTGTGATTTTTGTTTTGAAAACAGCCATTCTAATTGCGGTGAGATGATAGCTCATTGTTGGTTTGATTTGCATTTCCCTGATGATTAGTGATGTTGAGCATTTTTTTCATGTGCCTCTTGGTTATTTGTATGTCTTCTTTGAGGAATGTCTATTCAAGTCCTTTGGCCATTTTAAAAACTGGATTATTTGCTTTATTGCTATTGAGTTGTTTGGGTTCCTTATGTATTCTGCATATTAACCTTTTATCAGACGCATAGTTTGCAAATATTTTCTCCCAATTTTTAGGTTGTCTCTCATTTTGTTGATTCTTTCTTTTGCTGTGGAGAAGCTTTTTAGTTTGATATAATCCCATTTGTCTATTTTTGCATTTGTTGCCTGTGCTTTTGAAGTCTTATCCAAAAAATCCTCGCCTAGTCCAATGTCATGAAGTGTTTCCCTGTTTTCTTCTAGTGGTTTCATAGTTTTAAGTCTTTAATCTATTTAGAGTTCATTTTCATATACGGTGAGAGTTGGGAGCTCAATTTATTTTTTTATTGTGGTAAAATACAGTAACATAAAATTTAACATCTTAACTATTTTTAAATGTATAGTTCAGTGGTATTAAATACATTCATAATATTGTACAGTCATCACCACCATTCATTTCCAGAACTCTTTTCATCTTGTAAAACTGAAACTCTGTACCCATTAAACATTAACTACTCCACATTTCTCCCTCCCCCCAGCCCTGGCAACCACCACTCTGTTTTCTATCTCTATGAATTTAACCACTCTAACTACCCCATACAAGTGCAATCATACAGTATTTGTCTTTTTGTGACTGCCTTATATCACTTAGCATTATGTTCTTAAGGTTCATCCATATTGTAGCATATATCTGAATTTCCTTCCTTTTTAAGGCAGAATAATATTTCATTATATGTATAAATATAATACATATAATATTTATATGTAAGGCCCTTTGAGTAGAGTTGCAGCTACTGGGGTTGAGAGAGTAAAGGATGTGGCGGGACACAAATGTGATGGACAAAGGTTTAGAGAGAAGGCTCTTTTTCATATTCCTGCAGAGTCATACATTCTTCTCTCCCCTGGTTACTTGGAGTTTGATGTGGCATATGAAGATTAAGCCCTCCATAAAAAAGAAAGAGATCCTGTCCTTTGCAGGAACACAGATGGAGCTGGAGGCCATTATGTTTAGCAAAGTAATGCAGGAACAGAAAACCAAATACCGCATGTTCTCACTTATAAATAAGAGTTAAATAACAAGAACACATGGATGCAAAGAGGGGAAAAACTGACACTGGGGCCAACCTGAGGGTGCAGAGTGGGAGGATCAAGAAAAATAACTATTGGGTACTAGGCTTAGTACCTGGGTGATAAAATAATCTGTACAACAAACCCCAGTGCCATGAGTTTACCTGTGTAAGAAACCTCCATATGTATCCCTGAACCTGAAATAAAAGTTTAAAAAGTTAAAAATTTAAAAATAAAAATATTAAGCCCCCACTGCCCTTGAGAACAGGGAACACATTTTTGTGTTTTGAACACTTTGGTCTTCACATTTAATGGGCTGATGCATCTATCATGAAAATGACAAAATAAAAGCATGTTTTAGGGAAGAGGCAGAAAGCTGTGGGAATACAGGAGAGAGTGGAGATTCCCCTGGGTTTGGATGGAGGAGAGAGCTGTGGATGTGGCCTGGGAGGGTTGACCCAAGTGCTGCTCCGATTCATGCCTCAAGGAGTAGGCAAGCTTAGAGGGCATGACTACTGTCATGTATCATTTAACGAGGGGGATGTGCTCTGAGAAATGCATCTTTAGATTTTGTCATGGTGTGAACATCATAGAGTGCACTTAATGAACATGGATGGTGTAGCCTGCTACACACCTAGGCTGTGTGGTGTAACCTATTGCTCCTAGGCATGTGACTGTACTGAATCCTGCAGGCAATTGTAACACGATTGTAGTATTTGTATATCTAACCACAGAAAAGGTACAGTAAAAATACAGTATTATAATCTTACAGAATCACTGACATATATGTGGTCCATCATTTACCGAAACACCATTGTGCCGTGTGTGACTGTACAGGATCTCACTAGGGAGAAGAGGGTTCTCAGTCACTGTACGGCTTTCACAGACCTTTCATGGCATGAAAGTGGGTAGCAACCAGGCTCCAAAAAAACCAATGGAAAAGCAAGCAAAGAGATTATCAGCAGAAAACATGGTGGGCTGTGGTCTAAGCGCTTCCCCGCTTTTTGTTCTACTTTCAGAATTGTGGTATAACTCCAGCCAAGACTGAGAAAGGCTTGTCCATCAATCATGCAATGAGGGCTTAGGGGAAAAATTTAAGAGGATGAATGAAAAATACAGAATTGTGATAGTCATTGCCTGTCTGAGGTTTATGACTGAGATTCATGCCTGTGATGGGTATATTTAATTGGAACACAATTGTGGAAGGACCATGGTCTCTGGACACTTGCTCAACAAGGATGGTTCTCCAGCTCAACCTCTTTGAAAGATGCTTACTATTCTTAATTCACAGGATAATTACAGTCTGTCCCCTCTGCCACCTTTCTTTACAGTCTGTCCGGGAATTCAAGGTGCTCCCTGTCAGTGGTTTCCAAGGAGAAAGTCAAGTTTTGCAGCCTTAGGGCTCCTCACCCAGGGAGCTGAGCAGCAGAGTCTGACTCTCTGGCAGGAGTTACAATGTTACCATCTCATTTAATGGGTAATATTCACAGGGATAGGTTAGATTGCCTCCATTATTCAAGGAGCTACATGTGCCTGGTAGCAACAATTACCAAGTCGCATAAATACAACAAAGTTAATTAAAATGTTAGCTGATATAAATAACCTAAGGTTATTGAACACTGTTCCATTTTAAATTAATAAATACGCAAAGGTAATGTTTATAATTAAAGCTATAATTTATCTTCATGCTCTGTTTGTTTAATAGCAGTGGTAATATAACGCAACATGCAGAAATGTAGTAATAGATTTGTTTAGCACTGACATTATAAACAAATGTCTCAGTCTATTTATTCTAAGTTATGATACAGATTCTTTTCACATGCATCTGATGGCCTTTAAACCATTTAAAATGAACTGCATTAACGTAATCTAATCTTGATACTGAACATAACATTTCAGTTTGAATTATCCTGAATCCATGATCCATTTTATTACTCACAAAGCACTTTATACATTTATGATAATGGCAAACCTTGCTCTGTTATTTAAATCCCATTTCAAAAGGGATGTTATTTTTTTTTAATAAATAAACCCCACACATTTGGGGTGGTAAAGTACAAATAAGGAAAAGTCAATGCCCAGCAAGCCCTTTAACAAAGCAAACAATTCAGATTTTTATGACATTAGCAAATAATAAAGGGAAGAACTGACATTTACAGTTGATGAAATTTTATGTTATAACAGATGATGAAAATGGAATGAAAATCACATGGAAAAATTTGTCCATGAGGTTCAGCCATTCTGAGGAAATCTCTACCTGTAGACTGTCTTTGAGGACACTTTTCTAACTTGTTCAGTAGCCAGGAAAGTCCCAGGTCTACCCTGGGTTGAGGTTTGCTTAGATAGCTGAGCATGGGCAATAGCTGCCTAGTCTCCTTGGTTCTCTCTCCCTTCATCTTCGTTCTCTGCTCCCCCCACTTCCTCCTCCCTTTCATTCATTCAGCACCTCTTGGACTCAAGGGAACACTTATTCTGCACACTTTAATCTATATCACTTTAATTATAATAAGCCACCAGCCTGCTCTTTTCCGTGGTGTTATGGGGAGTTTTAGAGGAAGGAAGAAGAGAGTTCTGTATTTGTTTCTGGTGTACTTCTATTTTTTTGTTTTCCCTTAGCATAATTTCTTATTTCTCTCTCTCCTTAATCCCTTTTAAAATAAATGTTTCTTCTAGTTTTATTTGCAGTCACTGAAAGAAGTTTCACTTCATTTTAGTAAGAATATCTCATTGGATGTCTTAGAAACGGTTGCCCCTTAAGTCAAATAAACAACAAAATAATTTTTTAAAAAGACATTTCTTTATTTCTCTCTTTTTTTTTTAAAGAAGTTAAAAATGTAACAGGCCTATTTTTGGAGAAAGAATGGGCCAGAGAGTTCTTAAAAAATTCTAAACAGATTACACACTTTGAAAAATCCTAAAAGGATTTTAATACTGGAACCTCTGAAATTCGGGAAGCATTTAAATTTAGGATTATAAGCTATCCCACCGCAAAATCCTCCTGTGATCAAATATCACATTTTAGGAGATGAGTGTCTTTGTAGCTGCCACTCAGGCTGCATCTGCTCGTTATGTGCAGTATTAATAAAACAGGAGGACCACGGGGTTCAGGGAGAAGTCTGTGCAGTCAGGGCTGCCCGGCTGGCCTGCTATCAAGAGCTCCGGCTTCAGAAATAAGTTCGAGGGCTCCAGTCCTCTTCAGAGGCTTGGAGGGGCTAGGGGAAGCTGAAATGTTGCCTGCACTGCTAGATGGAGGCTGCAAGCTCTGAGCAAATAGGCAAAGGGGCTGGGGGAGAGGAGTATGGTGGAGGAAAAAAATGTGGTAAACCCTCAACCTTCCCTCTGTACCCTCACTGCCCTCCCCCTTATTCTTTAAATTCAGGCTTTCCAAAATGCACCTTATTTTTGGTCCTTTTCCATGGGGCCACCTAGGGATTTTGTGGCCACGGGTAAAGTGAAGGAGGAATGGGTCAAATTCCTGCACTCCCCAAGTCTGACTTTTAGTGGCCATTGAAGCATTTTTGTACATAAAATTATTTCTATGTTGAGAGTTTTTCTAGAATATTGGAACTAGATGGGTTCATTGAGGTTATCAAGTCTAGTGGTTTTAAGTCTTTAATAACAATAACATATGTATCTATACACACACATACACGCACATACACGGGCATGTTTAATCTTAAAACACTCTTTTGGGTGGGAAGGACATTTAACCCAGAAGCCCAGTATGTAGAATAGTTAAGAGGAAAATTACTCTGATTGGCTTTGATTCAAGGGGCAGCCTGGAATCTTTCATCTCATGTTTTCTCTCATCTCCTAATGTGGCTCCTGAGATAACCTTTAGCAAACTCTTGGTCTGATGCATTCTCTTCTTTTTCTGCCCTTTTCCGTGGAATGAAAGCTAAAGAAGCCTAGCCCATGGAGGGAAGAGGAGATGCCCCATGGCACCCAGGGGAAGATCTGGGCCCCATAACCACTTGCCTTGATTCTAAGCCTAGATCTGTTTCTCTAAGGCTATTATCCAGGAATTTCCAGCTTTGCTCTCTATATCTACTCTAAGAAGCTGTGAACCCTAAGTTGGACCCAAACACTGACTAATAAATTCAGGGATGAAATTTAAAGCCGGAAGTTTTGATGTTCCATGGGTCAATAGGAATGCATGGTTTCATGCTGATTCTCAGAAGGGTGGGTGGGTCAAAATCATTATGTGGTTTGGTAGGGAGTCATGTGGTGACTAGAAGTAAGGAAAGGCATGATGTGAAATGATCCTATGTTGGAAACCCTACAGCTCATTTTCTCCTAACGCTAACGTCTTTTCATGAACATGGTGTTAGCATTGTCAGTTTCATAAGCCCATGATACACTAGGGCAGTGGCTCTTACCAGGGTGATTTTGCCCCCCATGGGATATTTGGTAATATCTGAAGACATTTTTAGATGTTGATAAAATGTCCTATAATGCACAGAACATCCTCCCACAACAAAAAGGTATCTGGTCCTATGTGTCAATAGTGCCTATGTTGAAATAACCTTCTTGAGAATTTAGCAATCGTTCTCAGATATATGACCTCACAATTTTCCAGTTAAATCCTTACCTTCACCCTATTTCTCCCTGTAATTCAAAGTCAGCACTAATTGGGCAACAAGCCAAGAAAAGTGCAGAAAACATGTCTAACAGTTTCTGCCTTCCGGGGGTCCCATTCTGATGGGAGAGGTGGGTGAACAGAATGGTACAAGTGCCTGTGTTGCTACAAGCAGGGAAGAGAAGGGGGAGTTTCAGCCTCTGGCTTTTTGCCTGCTTGGGGGGGGTAGCAAGTGAATGGTGCTTGTGCCAAGTTTCTTTGTTTATTTTTGCTGGGGATCAGATGAGTCAGATAATTGGTCAGCTGTGAGGTAGAGAAAGAGAGAGGTAGAGAGATAAAACTGAGAGGGGGGCAAAGACAGCCTGTTTAGTTGCTTAGGATCAGGATGGAATAAGGATGGCAGAATATCATGGTGAACAGATGGGGGTCAACGTTCAGAGGGTAATCTGGCCAGAAGAAGGAAGTTAAAGGTACAGACCAGGTAGGTGCAGCCTTTCCTTAGGAAAAATTGCACATAAGTGTGAGAGCTAAAGATACCCCTGAAGCAGTCCACACCTTGGATCCTATTTTCTAAAAGCACTGCCCATTGCCTTGAAAAAAGAGCTCTCTCTTCTGCTAGCCCAAAAGACAAAGAGCAATGCTTTGCAAAATCCATAAAACAAAAGACTCCAACAGTGTCAAGCCTCTTTAAACAATCACTTGTGCTATGAGGCAAAACAACTGAGACGTCCGGATAAGCACTGTGGTGGTATTTTTCATGTTGATTGCAATAACAGCATCAAAGCCATGCACATTCTGTGTAAAATCAATGTCTGCTTGTTGGAGGAGGAGGGGAAGGGGAGAGGCCTGGGGATTTTATCTTGTAAGTCAGCTTTGCAGATAATCGCATGCCTCAGGCTTGGAAAAAATTGATGGCAGATCAATGGTCAGGAACATGAACTGTACTCATTTTTGACTGTGCAGTGCCCAGTGTTGGGTGAGAGTATCGAGATGTGGAAGCGAGATGGGGTGACTGGGACACTACTTTGGAGTGGGCTGGTAAGGCCTTGGCACTATCTGCAAGATAACTATAAGGACCACTCTGGGAAGGATCAGGTATTAGAAAAGATGAGCTATACAGTAAATTTCCAAGGGTTGGAGGATACTCTTATTCAATAAGGGGAGCGTGTGTGTGTGTGTGTGTGTGTGTGTGCACGTGCAAAGGAAAACTTGAGTTTATGTCAAGGACATTTTTACAAAGTATGTATGTCTCGATCAAGGGAGTATTTGTTGATTTGTTTGTTTCACAGACCAGAGGAATGCTTACATTGGCTCAGGGTGGAGCAGGGGGATTGAATTGTAGTTTAAGTTGGTACCAGGCTCTTTATTTGGCCATAGGGATTCTAAAGCTTTTCTTTATTGGTGGGGATGCTTTGGAGAGAGATGAGGAAGGAAGGAAAACAAGGCCATCATCTTACTGTTTTTTTATTTCTACATGAGGGTCTTATAAGAGTGAACGCTTTTCCCCAAAATTTCCCACTAAAGAGATCTCAATTTCTCATCATTGATGGAGAAAGAGGCAGTGATTTGCACCTTCTGTTTGTTGATCCCTAGGAGGATTCAATGAGTTATTTCATGGAAAGCACTCACCCAACTCAATAAAAAAACTTCAGCAATTGTGTTTTCATCACTTTTGCTGCACATACCTCATAGACACAAAAACAGAGGTTCAGAAATCTCTTCACTTGTTGATATTTTTAGTGATAAAAATTTACATCATACAGGGGCAAGATGGCATGGTAGAGGGGACAGCAGAGGGTGATGAAACTGCCTGTGGTGGTGCTCCAATCAATCCATGCTCTGGTTTGTGCTCTGTGAAGTCACAGTGGCCTCACTACCAAGACCTGAGGCCAGCACGTGCCCTGTTGAGTTCCCCTCTATACCTCTCTTCCCTTTTCAGTGTCTCTGTCTTTTTAACTCTTTCTCTCCTCTAGAATTCTCCATTTCTTCCAATGTCTCCTCCTTCCTGGTTTACTGGCTTTCCTCCAGCTGTGGTAGCCCCAACCCTCCTCTGGTGTCCATGGCTCTCCCAGCCTCCTGTTTATACATTTCTACTCCTAAGTGTGAGTGTGAGGGAGTGCTTTCAAGAAATATGTTGGGGCTGGGTGTGGTGGCTGATGCCTGTAATCCTTGCACTTTGGGAAGCTGAGAAGGGAGGATCACTTGAGCCCTGTAGTTCAAGACCAGCGTGGGCAACATGGTGAGACCCCATATCTTTTTTTAAATTTTATTTTATTTATTTATGTATTTATTTATTGAGATGGAGTCTTACTTTGTTGCCCAGGCTGGAGTGCAGTGGCGCGATCTCGGCTCACTGCAAGCTCTGCCTCTTGCATTCAAACCATTCTCCTGCCTCAGCCTCCCGAGTAGCTGGGACTACAGGCGCCCGCCACCACACCCAGATAATTTTTTTGTATTTTTAGTAGAGATGGGGTTTCACTGTGTTAGCCAGGATGGTCTCGATCTCCTGACCTCATGATCCGCCTGCCTCAGCCTCCCAAAGTGCTGGGATTACAGGCATGAGCCACCGCGCCCAGCTGGTGAGACCCTGTTTCTACTAAAAATATAAAAACAAAAAGATAGCTGGATGTGGTGGTGTAGGCCTGTAGTTCCAGCTACTCAGGAGGCTGAGGTGGGGGGATCGCCTGAGCCCAGGAAGTCAAGGCTTCAGTGAACCATGATCATGCCACTGCCCTCCAGCTTGGGCAATGGGAAAAAGACCCTGTCTCAAAAAAAAAAAAAAACAAAACAAAAAAAAGAAATATGTTGGTGCAATGCTCTATTCCAGGTATACAGCCAACTTTCTATTTTCCTTTATCATCTCAAAGATCTGAGAAAGAAATTCAAAATACCTCTGACTGCCTAATATTTTTGTATGCATTAAAAATTGATACATGGGCCGGGCGCGGTGGCTCACGCCTGTAATCCCAGCACTTTGGGAGGCCGAGGCGGGCGGATCACGAGGTCAGGAGATCGAGATCATCCCGGCTAAAACGGTGAAACCCCGTCTCTACTAAAAATACAAAAAATTAGCCGGGCGTAGTGGCGGGCGCCTGTAGTCCCAGCTACTTGGGAGGCTGAGGCAGGAGAATGGCGTGAACCCGGGAGGCGGAGCTTGCAGTGAGCCGAGATCCCGCCACTGCACTCCAGCCTGGGCGACAGAGCGAAACTCCGTCTCAAAAAAAAAAAAAAAAAAAAATTGATACATGATATTTCATGCATTTCTAGGGTAAATGTGATACTTTGTTACATGCATAACATGTAATGATCAAGTCAGGGTATCTGAGGTATCTAGCACTTTGAATATTTATCATTTCAGCCTATTGAATGGGAGAAAATATTTGCAAACTGTTTATCTGACCAGAAACTAATTTCCAGACTATACAAGAAACTCAAATAACTCAACAATTAAAACAAACAGGCTGGGCACAGTGGCTCGTGCCTGTAATCCCAGCACTTTGGCAGGCCAAGGTGGGAGGATCACTTGAGCCCAGGAGTTAGAGACCAGCCTAAGTAACATAGGGGTCTCCCATGTCTACAAAATAAAAAAATTAAAAAGAAAGACAAATAATCCCGTTAATAAGTGAGCAAAGGACATGAATAGACAATTCTCAAAAAAAGCCCTAATGCTGTGTTTTAATCTACATGCAGTCCTACCCAGCAGAATACCTGTAGCCTTATAACACATTTGTCCCTTTTCTGGCCTTTGGATATATAAAAACTTCAGTTTTGCAATTGCTTTTGCACCAACTGATACAACAAGTTCATCTTGAATTAACCTGACACTGGAAGACAGCTTCGGACTGTAATAGAGTGCAGAGGTGCACGCACAGGACGGGAGGTGGTAAATACCTTCCTAGCAGATTGTAGTTAGGGCTTACTTAATTGGAGGCCTTACCTCCCATTGCTATTTCAACTCATACTGGTAGCTCTCTTCTCCAAGATAATGGCACCATGTTTATGCAGTATGCCACATTATTCACTGATTGATTGCTATGCTTTACGCTTAACAACACAACTAGATTGTAAACTCCCCAAGGACAGTGACTATTTCTTTTTTTGAGACTGAGTTTCGCTCCTGTTGCCCATGCTGAAGTGCAATGGCATCATCTCAGATCACTGCAACCTCTGCCTCCTGGATTCAAGCAATTCTCCTGCCTCAACTCAGCCTGCCTAGTAGCTGGGATTACAGGTGCCCGCCACCATGCCCAGCCAACAGTGCATTTTTAGTAAAGACAGGGTTTCACCACATTGGCCAGTCTAGTGTTGAACTCCTGACCTCAGGTGATCCACCCACCTTGGCCTCCCAAAGTGCTTGGATTACAGGCATGAGTCCATGCACCTGGCCAACAGTGGCTATTTCTTCTCTCTCTGTGTGTCCCACAGTGTGCCCAGAAGTTTTTGGCTCACAATGAGCTTGAACACATGACAGGTGGGAACTTCACCACTTTCAAATTGTTGATAATGTTTATTAGTGATTTTTGTCTGATACCTTTTTTCTACCTTGTTAAATCATTTTTCTTTCTTGAGGCCTGAGACCCCATTAAAGCTTATCTGTCCAGTCCTGCCATCTTCAGCTCTGTTTCTTTTTGCATTCCTTAATTTAATTATTGGAAAACCATGCTATCAAGCCCTTTTATTTCCAAATGAGATCATTTACCATTTCTGAGACCAGGCTTCACATGCACTCTCTGAAGCCAGATTCTCTTTATTTTTAAAGAATAATCACCACCATACATGTTGGCTTCAGGGAGAAATTCTTTAGAAATTGGGCCCTCTGAGAGGGCGGTCATAAGATTCTGGGGAGTAGTGCCAATTACAGGGTAGTTGGTTCCAAATCCCAAACTAAAGGGAGTCTCTGGTTTAGTGCAGATGGTCTTCACAAAAGCTTCACAATTGTCTATATTTGAAAGAAGATACAAAGAAGTGGAGGCTTAGGGTTTGAGTCCCAGGTGAGTTGGGGCTAACGTACATAAAGCACTAGCTTATGTGCACCAGTGGCTCAGACCTTAGAGCATGTCAGTATTGTTGGTCAGTCACACCTGAGTTAACTGGGTCCTAGGTGTGTTCTTCCAGTGGAAGCCAGATGCTTGAATGGAGAAGGGTGCTCAGGGGCCTAGCTTTAGATTTAACTCAGCCCTGTGATGACTCAGCTGGGACAGGGGACAGGTCATACCATTTATCTGAGCCTCATTTTATTGACATATAAATAAAATGAATTTAAGATTGGGTTTTAAGACTAGGTGATCTCTAAAGTTATTTTATTAGGGGACTGTTAATAACTTATGCCCAACCAAGCTTGTAGAGAGGAACAATATTTGGTTCCAATAACTGCATGTTGCTCTCCTGGAGACACCTTGGTTGTGATAGATAACAATTTGAAGATTGTTTCCAGATCATTTAATGTAAGACTTCATAGTGAAAGTTATCCAAATTCTTAGAGCTGTGATTCTAAACTTGCGGAAGTCAAGGATCACTTTGAGAATTTGATGACACCTATAGACCCCCTCTGGCCAACACACACACACACACACACACACACACGCGCGCGCACGCACACACACACGTGTGCGTGCACACACACACACACACACCACACACACCTTTTTAGATAACACTGGGGGAGTTGTTCGTTGTTGGACCCTGTAAAGGTAGTAGACCCTTTCTTTGTTAAGCGTTCCTGCTCTATGGTGAATAATGAAGTGTGCTGCACGTAAGGCCAATCTCCTCCTCTAATTTATGGTCCATTGTTACTCTAGGTCTCTTCCTTCTGACTGAAAATCACTCTAATTCAGCTTCATTATTCAGCAATATAGTGTAGGAGTAAAGGAGACAAAAGAAGTCTGTGAGTTGTTCTTACTCTAGCAAGTTTCAGGGCTGTCCAGAGCATGGCTTAGGCAAGTCACTTAACCTGCCAGGGCCTCAGATTTCTCATCTCTACAGTAGGGATCATAATCGTATCTACTTTATGGAATTGTTGAGAAAATTCAACAGGGTAAGACTAGCATGAATACCTGTGGCACTCATCTAGGTTGCAAAATCTAAGGGAGCACCTCAAAACCAGTAATTTAGATAAGTAACACTTTACCGAAATATTTTTAAACATTAAAATTAATGCAAAAAGATGAACAAAATATCACAATTTTGTTGTAATATTTTAAGTGAAGACAAGCTCAGTATTATTGGTATTTCCTTTTCAATCAGTTTCCAATATGGCCAGCACAGCACTGTTACTGATTCTGAGAATTTGGTGGCTAAAAAATATATGAAAATGTTTTATCTAACCAGCTTTTATCTGGAGCCATAATCCTGTCTAGTCCCTACTTGCCCACCGGTGGAGACAGAGCTTGACTCCTCTTGAGGCAGCACAGTTATGGGACAATCCTCCAAATATTTCATTCTTGCAACTCATATTTCCACGAGGATAAATATTCCCAATCTCTCTAGCTGTTTTTCACAAGAATAATGTCAAGTCTAAGAGCTTATAGTGTTGGCCAGCGTTCATTTTAAAGGTGGATCCTAGAACTCAGCCCACTTCTGATGTGATCCCCTAAAACCCAGAAAAGATATTGGGGGAAAGAAATAGCAAAACTTGGCTTTCCTCCTTGCAAAGCTTAAAAACTTGTTTAGAGAAACCAAGTCTTCAAGACAGCACTGGTTATAATTTGTTTTTCTTGTGTTACTTTCACGACATACCTAGACAGTCATATATAGCTAATTACGATCTGAAGCGAGTGTGAATTATGATTCTCGATGATACTTCCACGTGATTTGTTGCAATATAAATAACGATGATTTATTGCGGCTTCGCTGACTGCTCCGTTGGTGATGGATCATAATAGTAGATCATGATAATTATGAAATCAGCACAGAGCTGTTTTCCCCCTTGTAATTCAATTGTAACACGGCCGCCGAGGCTGCTGAACATCACAGCCTGTCTGCTGAACATCACAGCCTGTCTGCTGCATGCTGGATTGCATTCAAGAGGAGTACAGTGGTCTTCCATGTGACTCACAGCAGTTCATCTCTAATAATTGTCCAGGTGGTTGTAGTATTACAGGTTGATGGCATTTTACTCATAGATTTTTATTCCAGATGCAAATTAAATTCTAGAGCTTGTCATTTCTAGGCCAGAGGCATTAACAGAGAAATGCTGAAAGTCCGGGGAGGCCTGAGCAGGTGACAAAACCCAGATCCCGTTCCTTCCCTCTTTGCTGAAGGCCCCTCCCTGTCTCAGGTCTGGGCTTTGTCATGCAGACTGTGTTGCAGTGTTTATTAATTTTTCTGATTTATGCAGAAGAACTTTTACTCCAAGGAACACAAGATACCTGTCATTTGGACCCTGCTTTAAGCAACTCTAAGCTACAAAAATCTATTTCATTTAAAACAGTCATTTCTCATACTGAGTGCAAAAATGCTAGTTCTAGGCATTCTGTGAATAAAAAGAGCACCTTGGCCAACTAACTTTGGAAAATACTGGGTTAGAAAAGTAAAAAATATATACAGGTTGAAATAAATGAAACATTTTTATAAAGGTAAGTAAAGTAATGATCTTTACTTTAGGACTTCTTAGAAACTTCATTTTGTAAACATAGTTAATATCTAAGAAAAAGATATGGTACCCAGTGTTCCTTAAGTACAAGCAATCCTTACCTCTGGGTGGTGGACTAAATGTTGCCGTCAAGTCTTTGCATGTCTTTCCATGAACAGGTAGAGCCGAATTTCTGTACCTTTGAATCTGGGATGGGCCCATGACTTATTTTAATAAATAGAATGTGGCAAAAGTGACCCAGTGTCATTTTGGGGCTGGACCTTAGGAGGTACAAAGCTTCCATTTTTTCTACTTGGAACACTCCTTCTTGAACTCAACCACCATGCTGGTGAAGCTCAGGCAGCCTCATAGGATGCCGTTTGTGGGCAAGAACTGGGGCCCTGGCTGGTAGACCCAGTTGAGTTCCCAGCTGGCAGCCAGCACTAACTGCCCAGCTTATGGGTGAGGCCACTTTGGACCTTCCAGCCATCTCCACACCCCAACCAACAACTCAGAAAGCAGAACCATCCAGTCAACCTACAGAATTGTGAGACATAGTAAAGTTGCTATTTTAAGACATTGAATTTTGAGGTCGTTTATTATACACAATAGGTAACTGAGACTCTGCCATGTTAAAGTACAAGATTTTTACCACATGGTGTATTATACACTTCTTATTGTTTGCATTTTGCCTTATTCACTCTTAGTTTTTGGGATTTATCCACCTAAAATCATATATACGTATTTAATATATAAAATTATAACACCGTATTCACTTCTTTCACAGAATTTTGCACGATTTGTTTACTTGTTAATTTTTTTCCCCAACTGTAAGCTCTCAGAGTGCAGGATCCATATTTACTTTATTTATTTCTGTATGCCTCTCCTAGCCCAGTGACTGGCATAGTTTGCCTTCACTAAATATACGTTGAATGAATGAGTATCTTTTGGAAAACAGTTTTGAAGTATTAGTCTAAGCTATAGACAGAATTAGGGGCTGACTAATTACATAACAGAAGGATCCTTTGCTAAGGCTGAAATTATCAAAGGTTCCTTTAAATATTGATCTTACAAGGTACATCTAAAATAGGATTCAGCGTGAAAAACCCCAAATTACTGAAACTTTACTAGAAACATGAACTGGACCTAAAGGCAATCGTGTAGTGCTTATATGAGAAACATTAACATTTTCACTCATGTGCCTTTACCTTTTTCCCTCCACAGAGGAAACAATATCAGTAGGTTGTTGAATATCATTCATAATCATATTTTTATTCTTTTAGTAGATAGATGCATAAACATTAAAATAAGGGATATATGCCATATATTATATTATATACCTCCTATTGTTTTCATTTTGCTGTATTCACTCCTGGTTTTTTAGATTTATCCACCTAATTGTATCTATCATCTCTCTCTCTCTCTCTCTCTCTCTCTCTCTACTATCTAGTTTGTTCATTTTAAATGTGGCAGAGTATTCCGTCTTATGACTAAACATCAGTCTATTTGTTCAGTCTCCTACTGATGTATAATTACATTGTTTCCTGTTTTTACTATAATAAACAAGACTGTGACCAACGTCTTTGTACATTTTTCTCTGTGCATGGTAAGAGTTTATCATTGCCATTTTCCAGAAAAGAAAACTGTGGCTCAAAGCATTTAAGGAACTTGTCTGACATCAGGCAGTTAATCAGGTAAGGGCCAGAGTTCAAATCCAGTCCATGTTCATTGCTTTGCTGCATTTGGCTTCCTGGAAGGCTGGAAGACCCTGCAGACAGCAGGGGTACTGCTTGGAGGGGGATCTGAAAAAGGAAGTTTCGTGGATGCTTCATTGGCCTGAAATTCACTCCTCAGTTTCCCGGTGCCAGTTACTGAGTAATGACGCATCAGAGGGGCCCATGATGTGGGGTCAGAACAGGATTGACTCTCATAAGTCATGGAGTCAAGACCCAGCTTTGTGACCTCCCAGCTTTGGAACTTGAGGCCTGTTGCTTCACCTTTTTGAAGGTCATCTTTGAAATGGGGATTATAACATTCTCAGCTCATAGGCTGGTTGCAAACTTCAAGGAAGATAAGGTACAGGGGAAAATTTTATGATAAAAATGTGCTGTATTCATGGACATTGTTAAATCTGTTTGTTGGAATTCAGAAAATGTCACTCAGTTTTTGACTCTTGACAATTTGTCACCTGTAAGCTGGAGAGAATACTCTTCCAGAGTAAATCTGGTTTCCTTGAACATGGAGAGTTAAGGTCTGAAAGCAGGAAGAGGGCGCTGTCTCAGGGACTGGCCGCCTTGAGTTCTGTGAGATGCGAGAGGATGGCTTACGCTGCAGGGACGTCTGGTCTGGCTTGTGGCGGAATTCTGGTCCTAGCAGCATGGAAGCATCTAACTGCAGCTACAAGTGACCAGGGTTCTGGGTTTTTCTGATAAAGTGAATGTGGGTCCTTGTTTCTTGGCTTTAAGACAGATGCTGAAAGGCAGCCAATCCATTTGCTTAGAACAGGTGAGGCCTTGAGTTCTAGATTGGAAGAAAGGTGGGCTGGTTAGTTAGAGAGAGCAAGATGTGCTTGGAGGGATGCTGAAGTGAAGGGAGTTTCAGAGACTAAGTGTCTCCAGTACGACAAGGTGCATTTGGTTCCTTTGAATTTGGGGGTAAATGCTGCTACATGTGTGCCAACCATCAAAGACAACATGATGACCTTCACACTTGCACCTGCTTTTCTCCTATCATCCTCAACATTCTTCAGTTTGATTCATAAGCCCAGCTCTGTGCTCCCTTACCTAGGTGCCAGAACAATCTTCATTAGCATCTTCATTTTACTGATTGGAAGAGACCTGGCCTTGGGTGGCTCCAGGTGCGTCCAACATCGGCAGCAGCATTGGAACATTGGACAGCAGAGCTGGAAGGATCCCAGGGACCCTGAGCCCACTTCCCTCTTTTGGCAGAGGGAGAAAGACTAAGGGCCAGACAGGGAAGTAACTTACTCAGGGTCTCACAGCCACAGAATGGCATGCAAGGACTCAGAACCAGATAGACTAACCCCTGCCCAGAGTTCTTTTTACTTTTTCTTGTGGCCTCCTTGCCCCTTGCAGGGTCATGGCCTGTTCCACTTGCCCGTCCGCTGGGACTAGCTCAGATGTGGTTTAGATCTGTGTCCCACCCAAATCTCATGTTGAATTGTAATCCTCAATGTTGGAGATGGGGCCTCATGGGAGGTAATGGGATCATGGGGGCAGGTGGTTTCTAATGGTTTAACAACATCCTCCTTGGTGCGGTCATCGGTGATAGTGAGTTCTTGTGAGATCCAGTTGTTTAAAAGTGTGTAGTACCTCCTCTTCCCCTCCTTGCTGCTTTGGCTATGTGAAGGGCTGGCTCCCTCTTTGTCTCTGCCATGATTGTAAGCTTCCTGAGGCCTCCCCAGAAGCTGAGCAGATGCCAGCATCATGCTTTCTGTACAGCCTGCAGAACCATGATCCAATTAAACTTATTTTTTTATAAACTACCCAGCCTCAGATTTTGTTTATAGCAATGCGAGAACAGACTAATACCAGCTCTTTATGTTCTTGCCAGGACCCAATAATTTTGTGTCTCTTTGGGCAGGGTGGGGTCAGTTAGACTCGGGCAGTGTCCTGATTGGCCCTTTGAGATCTTGCCAAGAGAGAAAGAGCTTTTTAATCTACAACTTTCCCCGTCCCACTGGTCAATCCCACAGCCTAGTTATGGAAGGAGAGTTGTTTGCATGAGTTAGAAATATCAAGCCACCCACTTTCACTGGTGCTTTCCTCCTACTGCAGGTAATGCCTACCTGGAACGCTGCGTCAAGAAGGATTCAGAGTCTGGAGCTGAATCTGATCAGTTACTGCCTGCCATAAGCATGTGCATGGGGTGTAGTCATCTATGTGGCACATGCTTACATTTCTACCTTCCCCTTATCTGATGCCAGTATTGTCTCCAGAGCTCTCCTGAGAGCCTGGGAAATGCAAAAGTGGAGGTGTAAAGCCTTGTAGTGGTTGTTAGAGGAAACACCACTCACATAAGGAATTTCTTTATCAACCCCAGGGTACACACTAGGCAGGCTGTGCAACTGTTTTGCCTTTCTCCTCCTCCTGGTAGAGTAGTTGACACACTTCCTGGCTGCTGAGATCCTGACTAATCCCCACCCCTCCAAGTAGAACTTCATTGAATCTTAGAAGCAGAAAAATCCAGAAACAAAAGCAAGAAATAAAAGAGCTGTCAGAAAGGATCTACATAGAACCCTGAAGTTGTGCTTTCATAACTGAATAAATACCTCCTTGAGCAATAATTTGTTTGCAAGCTGTTAATTAGCAGCATAATTAATTTCTGCAGATTATAAATAACAGAGCACAAAGTGGCATTCCCAGTAGAGCCAATGAAAAATTACCTAAACCATTTTAAGAACCAAAAATAGTTCACAATGTAACAGATTTAAATGGGTTCTAGAATCTACATGGTGCAATTTTCGTTTTCCTGTGGGTTAAAAAAATTTATTAACTCAAAAAACTCAGCAACTGTGAGCTTGTATCTGAAGTCAGAAATTTATTGGTGAAAAGCAGAGTTTCATTAATCACCCTGTTCTCTTACGCCTGGCATGTTGAGAAGGAAAAAAAAATCTCTGTTTATCTCTGCTTCAAACAAACAGCCGCATAAGTAGATTATTCCCAACAGAAAGATTTTCCCTACACTCTAATCTCAGAGCAATCATTCACTGCTCTAAATGAGCAGTTACTTAAAATGTTAAGAAGAGATGCTAATTAGCTCAAGGAAAACCCTGCCAAGTATTTAATTTTGAGAAAATAAAATAAAGATAGGAAAGGCCTGTCACCTTTTGCAATCATAAGGCCATCGGTTTATACCTAGTCTTTTGCCTTGGTTACATTTCTAGTGTTAGGATCAGTACTGTGGGATACCGGCTGAGTGGTATGAATTGATCTCTAGGTTCAGAAACAAACTTGAAGGTAAGAGTATTGTTACAGCTTGTGGAGAAAGAGCCTTAACTTTATTTGTAATCTGGAATCATTTTTCAAAGGAGTTGCGACTTACCAAAAGCAAAAAAAAAAAAAAAAGATAAAAATGAATCTAAGAAAGTTCAAGGTGGGTGGATGTTAGAAGGAAACTGACCCAAGAGGAATGAAACTGATATTCCAATAATAGTCAATAGGTGATGTAATTTAGTATCACTTAGCTCTGAGCTTCCTGGTAGCCAAGGTGAGGAACAACATGGAGATAAGGAGCTTGTGTTATTTGAGAGAAATAAGGGGGAGAAATTCAGAGCATGGCCTGTAAGTAGTGAATGGTAGTTAACCCATGGGCTCCAACCAGGTGAACCTGGGTTCAAATGGACCCATCCCTTCACATTTGAGCTTTGTGATCTGGGCAAGCTGTTTAACCTCCTTGTGTCCATCCCAGGATTTGCTTTTTCTTTATTTAAAAAAAACTTTTTATTTTGAAATAATTCTAGATCCATAGAAAGTTATAAGAAGAGTAGAGAGTTTTCTTGCACCTTTCTGCCAGCTTCCTAACATGTAACATATTAGATAAATTAGTACATTATCAATACCAGAAACTGACATTGGTACAATAATACCAACCAAACTATTAGGCAGTATTCAGATTTCACCAGTATCAGGTTTGGCGTTTTCTTTTTTAATATATGTAAAATACTACATGGTTAATACACGTGGCTTACTTAACATATTATTGGCACCAGCCACATAATATGCACTTAATAAATAGAAGCCACCACCTTCCTCCTTATTATGAGTTATGAGTTAATGAGAAGGTCATTAGCCCCAGCAACTGCAAGATGCTTCCTAGACACTAACCTATCTTATCTTTGTCATCAGCCTAAATTTCCAGTGGAAAAAGATATATTTGGTCAGGTATGACAAGGCTTAGATTAGAAATAGAGTCTACTGAAGAATAAGGAAATGCAGACAGGCACATTTAATCAGGGATCTGGTAATAAAACGGAAATAATTCGAGCATCTTCATTTTTGTTTCACATGGTGGTTTATTTTCTGTTTTTCCAGCCACCCAGAAAGTAAGAGCTCCTTTCTTATACTGTGGATATAAAAAGAATAAAATCCTAATTATAGATAGTGCTTTTCTAAGATCCGAGCCAATGCTGCAGAGGAAGCGGGTGTGAGTTTGCAGTTTTATTGTTGCCTCTTGCGGGTGTTTGAACATTTCTGCAGACGCTTGTGCTATTCTGTTCAATTCCATTTGACATAGCTAAGCTCTTATTATAAAAGTGCATTTAATGATGCTTGCTGGGCACTACAGGAAGCACAGCAATGAAAAAGAGTTGACTTTTACCCCCAAGGAGCTTATAATCTAGTGATAATATGCCAAGGATTCATATCTTAACAATACTTCCCATTGAATTTAGTTATTGCCAGCTATTTTATTCAACTGTTGAGTAATACTGTCTCAAGCACAGTAAACTGACTGTAAAAGTAATACCTGTTCTAGATGGTATTGTCCTGAAGCTTCTAATAATATTTGAGGAAAAAGCAAAAATTATTTATTTACCCAGCAGCTATTTATTGAGCTCATTACATATGTTAGGTAATGTTCTACATGCTGGGGGTACAGGTACAGCAATGAACAAGATAGACAAGATTCTGGTTTTTTTTTTTGTTTGTTTGTTTTTTTTTTTGAGATGGAGTCTCGCTCTGTGGCCCAGGCTGGAGTGCAGTGATGTGATCTTGGCTCACTGCAACCTCCGCCTCCTGGGTTCAAGCAATTATTCTGCCTCAGCCTCCCAAGTGGCTGGGACTACAGGCACGTGCCACCATGCCCAGCTAATTTTTGTATTTTTAGTAGAGACGGGGTTTCACCATATTGACCGGGCTGGTCTCGAACTCCTGACCTCATGATCCACCCGCCTTGGCCTCCCAAAGTGCTGGGATTACAGGCTTGAGCCATGGCACCCGGTCCACAAGATTCTTATTCTAATGAAGTTTACCTTCCAATAGGAAAGAAATATGGAAAAATGAAAACAAATGAGAAAAGCAGATTGAGCTGGGCGCGGTGCCTCATGCCTGTAATGCCAGCACTTTGAGTTGCTGAGGTAGGAGGATCACTCGAACCAAGAAGTTCAAGGCTGCAGTGGGCTATGATTGTGCCGCTGCGCTCCAGCCTGAGCAACAGAGCCAGACCCTGTCTCTAAAAAGTAAATAACTAAAAAGTTATATAAAAAAAAAAAGAAAGAAAGTAAGAAGATTGAAGAGTAACTGGTGGAGAGGTGGGGAATGCTACTGGAAGAGCAGGATAAAGGAAGGCTGCTCTGCAGAGGCAACACTTAACCTGACGTCTGCAAAACTGAGAAGATCCAACCACGTGAATTTGTGGGGGAGGCAGGAAAACACAGCAAATAGAGACCAGCAAATCAAAGGCCCAAATGCAATCTCACTTGATAGCAGAGAGCGTGATTGTAATGCTTATCACAACACAGGCATGTAATAAGCATATGTGGACTGAAAGAAGTACCAGAGGGCATGGTACCGAAGATCAGGAACAAAGGGCATCTCCTAGGTGCTGAGAGAGAGCTTCCCAGAAGCAGACATTGAACTTGACTCTCCAGAGGACTTCTTATGGCTAGCTGGAGGAAGGATGGCTTTTCTCTGAGAAATGGAATGAATTAAAGCTCATTTGGGAAAGTTTGCTAAGAATGGGTTGCAAGGGTGGTGAAGGTAAGTAATTATGGGGGCTGAGGGAGACAAGCAAATATCTATTACTATTACTAGTAACAATAGTAGAAATTATTACCATTCATTACTTTTTACTCTTAATATGAAAATATTTAATAATATTAAGCATTCATGAAAAGTTTACTATATGCCAAGAATTATGCCTCATATCTTCCTTTCATTATCTCATTGTTACCCACGTTTTATTTTATAGTTGAAGCACTTGAGACTCAGAGAAGTTAAGTTACTTATCTAAAGTCACATAATTAAGTGGCAGAGTCAGGATGTACACCCATGTCTGTCTGATCTCAAAGTCCATGCATATTTATTACTTATAAGCTGTTGAATTTCTTCCCCAAATATCTCTCTCTGATATTGCAGAGCATATGGCAAATGGTGATTAAATTCTATGAAACAGTAGAGGAACAAAGTGCTTATTAGTTAGATAACTTTAATGTCATCACCAATGGCAATTTTATATCTATGCCATAATCTTGCCACGTATCAGCAGTGGCGATGATGGTAATGTTTTGTGTCAAGGAGGGGATTAGATAGTGTCTGGCAGACAAGATGGGTTATACTGAGCTGCTCATTTTCTTATTTGGCCCTTTGTGATAAAGGGTAGTTATTGGCCAAAGTGGAAAGTACAGTACTTTCCATTAATACAACATGTGGTTCTAGAGCAAGTTTTTCTAGGCCAAGCTAACTGGCTCTCATACATATTAAGTCTGTACATGGCTGAGCTCATCACCAGATGAGGCATAGCAGCTTCCTTTAAGAGTGCCATTCTTTCTGGCATAGGCTCAAAGTCATAATGCTGAAGTGGAAGTGGATGATGAGAGCACAAAGATAAGGGGAATGAGGTCGTGGCTTTCATCACACTGCATTCATGTCCTAGTTAGCATCACTCGGCCCCTGGCCACAGCTGGAGCCATGATCTTGGCACTTTGTCTTGTATATCTGTAAAGGACACTGATCAAGAGAGTAACTAATGAAGCACGCTCAAAGTAGAACTATTTTCTGTCTTGAGATAACATGTTCAAAACTGCAAGCACAACACCTCAATAAACATGGCACAAACACATTGAGTAAGTTGAATTTCTTTCCTTTTCCAAACATCTCCCTATGCCATTCTCCCTGGTTCTACTGGTTACTTCTTTTGTGCTACTAGACATTTTCCCCTCAATCCTCACCTTTACCATCTCTAGATAAAGTTGGTCAGGGAAGGCAAATCGTATTCATCTCATATATGAAGTTGGATCCATTTTTAAAGAACACCAAATGAAAGAGAAATTTGGAGCTATATTCAGGCTCTAAAGAAGAGGGTTCTGCGGTCAATTGGTGATATCTGCCATGGATGTGGACAGGAAGAGTGTGTGAGTGCACATGCTATGTATTAACCTGGCTGGTTTCTAAGTTTCTTCCATATCTAATATCTGTGATTATGCCTCAACAACCCATTTTACATGCAGGAAACCGATTTAAACTGCCATGTGAAGAAGGGGGGATCAGTAAGGTTATCTTTATATTGAAGAATGGTATATTGTCATGGTAACTTGAACAATGGAAGACAGACTGGCAATGAGCAAATCTTGGCAGCTATAGAGGGAATGGAGCAGGCTCTGAGAGTTACTGCAAACACTTTTGTGACTCTGGTCTTCTTGCCAAGTGTACAGATCACAAAGGTGCTCTACCTTTTAGATCTGCTGTGGAATAACAAGCAAGTGAAGACCTGGGCCTCTGCATGGTGTAGTTGATGAGATGCCCCCACTGTGGTTAAAAGTGGTGAACAGCATAGGAGGCACAGAATAAAAGGGTGGGGGGTGACCTTTATCAGACTGATATTCACCCCTGCCCTTGACTTTGAGCCTGAATAGCCCTGCCTTGGCTCATTATTATTTAAAGCTGCAGCCTCTTCTTTTCTCTTCATCATTTTCAGTTCACATTTCCTATTCTGTTCTCATTTTTGGAATGAACTTTCTCTTCTTCACTGGGCTTTTCATTGGGGTTCCAAATTCTCAAATATGCTGTTGCGACAGTTATAGATTTCTGAGCAAATCGACCAGCTTTTTTATTCTTCTCCATGCCATGTTCTATTGTCTAAGGGCAAAAGTTTAGAATCACAAAGACCCTCTTAGTATAAGTATTAGCCATTTATCTGTCCTACACACATACACACAAATATACACATACATATGTATGTTGCATATTTTCCTAAAATAATATCTTGTGATTTTGATTGCATCCTGTGTATCATCACATTAATAATAAAGAAAGACAGTTCAATAGAAAAGTATATGAATAGCTTATTTAGAGAAGGGCAAATTGAAATGGTCAATAAGCATATGAAAAGATGCTTAACCTCAATACTAATCAGGAACATTTCTAATTAAAGATACAATGCAAATATTTTAAGTGCATTATCACTCAGACCTGGTGATATGCCAAAGAGAAAGAGGCATCACACATTTCTGATGGAGATGGAAATTATTTTAGCCCTTTGGAAAGCAATCTGGCAATATGCCTTTAAAGTGAAACATACAGATCTTCTGACCCTGCAATCCCACTTCTGGGAATTTGGCTGATTAAAAAAAGACACCAGGATATAATGATATCTTTATTCTAGCATGTTTTTCAGTGGAAGAGAGAGAAAAGAATGAAACAAATGAAATGAAACAAACTAAATATCAAGTGATAGAGGAAGGGCTGAATGAAACATGGTACATCCACAGTGGGTAATATTTTGCAATCATTAAAAAATAGACAGTCCCTGACTTACGATGGTTGTACTTAAGAGTTTTCAACTTCACAGTGGTGCAAAAGAAATACACCTTCAGTAGAAACTCTATCTCAAGTACTTTTACAACCATTCTGTTTTTCACTTTTAGTGCAGTATTCAATTAACTACATGAGTAGTTCAATGCCTTATTATAAAATAGGCTTTGTGTTAGATGATTTTGCCCAATTATCAATTAATGTAAGTCTTCTAGGCATGTTTAAAGTAGGACAGGATAGGCTATGATGTTTAGTAGGTTAGGTGCATTAAGTACATTTTGGACTTATAATATTTTCAACTTATAATGGGTTTATCAGGGCATAACCTCATTGTAAGTTGAGGAGCACCTGTAATGAATTAAATTTGTATCATTTAACCTGAAATATTTCCATAATGTATTGTTATAGCAGAAAAGCTACATGCAAAGTAGGTATACAATATAATGCCATTGTTATAACAAGAAAAACAGCAATAACAATATAATTCTAATAAGTATATTAATCGTTACTTATATTTGTTTGGTCAGGAAGAAATATATAGAAATAAAAACACTGGGCCCTTAGCATTTGTTGCTGGAAGGTGGGGTGGAGAAATGAAAGTGGGGAGAGAAAAAGAGGGAATAGCAAGATGTAAATAAAATTAAATTATAGAAAAAAATGAAAAACATTTGTAATAAAAATAATACATAATATGATTGCATTTAGGAAAAACTATGTGTATGTTTTTACCTAGAGATACATGAAAGCCTGGTCATAAACATGTTAACTTAGATTATCTCTGAGTGGTAGGATTTCAGATGATGTTTACATTTTGTTTGTACTTTTTTTCCAAAATATGGTCAAATAATGTCATCAGAATTAATGGTTCTTTCTCCACCACCAAGTTCTGCTTTCTGTTGGTTTAATTTTCAATTTCTTCTCAAATGATACTAATCTGTCAAGATATTCCAGACTTATGTTCTGTCACCCAAGGGAGCCCAGTGCAAGAATGCCATGTTTGCAGTAGTTCTAACATGAAGTCCCAAGCATACTCTCCTTGGTCTGACCCTACATCACAATTTACTCCTGAACCAAGGTCATAGAGTATGCTGATTGGCCATGTTTGGGTCACATGCCCTAACCACCTGGGCTGAGATTGGGAGAGTGGAGTTCCCCAAAGGCAACACAATATACTTTTATCAGAATATGGATAAATTACAGGGGACTGTCATCAGAATATGTCCATTCTAGAGGGTGAGGTAAGAGAGAGTTGAGCAATAATAAAAAATATTACAGTGAGAAAAATGATGAACTATGAGAGCATACAGCAGGCACTGAGTGCAAAGAAGAGGAAGTGAGCCTTTCTAGAGAAAGTTATTGTTAGTTAATAGTTTCTGTTTGAATATTTGAGATTTAGTTGCATACAACAGATCCATTCTGATACAGTACATGGTATGAGGTAGTTTATTTAAGGTCTGGGTCTGAGAGAGCTAGGAAACCTGGCATAGATACCATACACAGGGAGAAATAATCTATCTACCCTACCAAATGGCTATTCCAGCTGATCCCTTGCCTCTGCTACTGGTTTAAGCTCAGCACCCATGAAGCTAGGGAGTGAACATGAGAAACACTGATACAACTACCACAGAAGGAAGATTTGCTTACACCATGCCAGAAAAGCCAAGTGTCCTCAGACACGTGCGATATTGTTTCAGCCTTCTAATTTCATAATGATGCATCTACTTGATGAAGTAAGGCTACTTGCAGAACCATAGCTGCAAGAGAGCTAAGGAAATGTCATCTTTAGCTTTGTGGCTTCTGTTGTGAAGAAGGAATGCAAGAAGGTGTTTGGAGTAGCAACAAGTGAGCTATTCTGCATTTTCTGTCTCATTCCATTATGTTTTTTACTCAACGCCATACCTACTCTTCCTATTCCCCTTAAGCTTCCAGAAAATAAGAATAGCATTAATAATATGCTCTTGCTTAATATAATTAAACCTGCCTCTTTAATGAACAAAAAAACCTCACCCTTACTTCTAAAAAAGAAAGACTCAAATTCTTATCAGTCATCGCACCGATTTCCAAATTATGTAATAGACTTTCTAGTCTTAATTCTGTCTTGATACTGGAAAGCTAAAGTGTAATTTGTAAATGTAATCACCGAGTACATATCCCATATGAAACAGTAGGGAAAAATAAAAATAGTTAATATAAATAAATATCTAGATACCAGGGCAAGTGAAAAATGTGGATAGCTTCTTCAGCGTTTGTTTCTGAGATGGGTCATCAGGTTTGGTTGGCATTTAAAACTTCCTTCCTCCATGTCCCATTTCATATTCCTTTGCCTCTATCAGCATCCAGCTTCTTGGGGTCTTCTGGGAGGTTCATTCATTTCTAGGGGTTTGAACCTTGGAAGTATGATCAATTTAGTGTTTCTACCATTTTCCATTAATACTTATCTCTACAAATGTCAGCGCTAGAAACATTTGGGTTCCATTTTATTTTCCCTAATTCCCATTATGTGGCATTTCCTTTGTAATAAGAAAAGATTATCTTAGTCAACACTTATTTTGAAGACCATGAAGTGGCCAGCAGGAAGTCTCATTTCTATTCAATGGACCAACCATTACCTTTGTGGAAGAAAGCGTTTCATCCTTAGGTATCAAGACCCATAAGCCAGCAAAGTCCAGAATTGTGTAAATATAAAGGAAATACTTTTTTAGATTGTGAGTTGTGATAGTGAGAGGAGCCACACATCCTCCCACCCACTGTTTCCTGCTGCTTTGTAGTGTGGCTATGAGAGAAATGACGTCATACATTGGTCTGTCGTTTGTTCAGAACACATATTACCTAGGACAATTATTCAGTCTCCCAAGAGATTGTCGTCTCTAACAGCCTATAATTCCATGGGCCACTCCATCATTCTGCAAGACCAACTACTTCTAGGAGGTAAGGTACTGAGAAAGACAAGTAAAAGCCATGAACATTAGATAATACTTTATTACTTTTGCTATAAAATGAGGAGGCAGCATTGTGTGTACTACTATGATCATGAACAAAGCATTGAGTGATTGCATGCCTTTTGGGATTGTGGGAGACATTATGAACAAAACACAAAACTTATATAGAGAATAAGTATCTAGTCCAGAGGACAAATATCTGTCCCTTCCCAAAGGAAGGGGTCTAAGGTAATCAATTGCCACCAGGCAGCAGGCTGGTCCTCAGGCAGTTATGTAGTGTTTAGGACCCGGTTACACTCCGTAATGGCGATCCCTGAAACTAACTTTGTGCTCTTGAACCTGTGCATCACCTCTGTCTTTGCCACCATGGCTACATTATCCATCAACCCATTCACAAGAGTGTCTGGAAAGAGGCTGACAGATATCTACAGGGGTTTGATTTACCACATGACTATTGAGAACCTCCTACACAATGGGGCTCTTTGCTGAGCTTTCGTATGGGACACAAGTACTTTCATATTCTGGATCCATTTAGAGATGCCCTTTCTTCATTAAAACTGACTTCTTATTGATCCTGTAATCTCATTCTTTTTGAAAGCCTGGACTTCACATCATGAGATTGACTACTTAAAATTCTGTCTACAGGAAAACTTTCCTTTCTCCATTGTCCTTCAAGGCCATCCTTTAGTGGGGATACAAGCCACAGCAATCCATTTCTCACTTGCACCAAAGATTAGACTCGATTTTCCTTCTTAGCCAAATGATTATAGGGATTTCTCAAGAGTCTTGAGGCTGCAATGGGCAGGAGTGAATATACTGAGAGTGTGAGGCTCCTGTGAATAATGTATGCCTTAAAGATCTCCTCAAGTCCAATTCCATAGGTACCACATTTCCTGGATGATAGAATGCAGCACAGTCTTCTTGACACTATAGCTTGGTGGAGCTGACAACTCCTACTTCATGAAGACAGCTCAGTTTGCATGGCTTCTTGACATTCAGGAGCTTTGAGAAAGAACTTCCTAAAAGGAGAGCATCAACTTTCTGAAAAGAGACTGTCTTTGCTACCAACCTCTAAGGGTTGCAACTACCATTCTCCTAACATGTCTTGACTCAAGCCTTATATAGCATCTGAAGCCACCACAAATCAAACATCACTGGATCTGCAGAATCATAAAGTTTAACTGGCTGAGCTGGACTAGCTGGACAGCCTTCTCTTGCTCGGAATCTTCTTATAAATTGTCAGTTTTACGAGTTACTTAGTAATTGCTTCTGGTATTTTCTGCTAATTGAGATAGAGCAAAATGCATTAGACAGATCGATATCTACACAATAGGTGCCAGGGGCTGTATTGATTTATTCCACTAAAAAGACTCTGTCTTAGTGAGTTCAGGCTGCTGTAACAAAAATATCATACAGTGGGTGACTTATACAACAAACACTTTATTTCCCATAGTTCTGGAGGCTGGGAAGTCCAAGATGAAGGTGCTGACAGACCCAGTGTCTGGTGAGGGCCTGCTTTCTGGCTTGTGGATAGCTGCCTTCTCACTCCATATCTCATGATGCACAATCAGCTCACATGGTCAAGAAAAAATGCTCTTATTTCTTTCTCCTCTTATAAGGACATTAATCTTCTCATGGGTGCTCCACTCTCATGATTCTATCTAAACCTAATTACCTCCCAAAGGCTTCACCTTCGAATAGTATCCTTTTGGGAATTAGAATTTCAACATATGAATTTGGGAGGTGGCACAAAGATGTAGGCCATAACATTTCACCCTCCCAAAATTCATGTCCTTCTCCCATGCAAAATACATTCATCCTATCTTAACAGCCCCCATGACTCTAAAGCCTTATGTACAAATTCTCCCTAAATATTATTTAAATCTGTTATGGGTGAGACTTGAGGTATGATTCATTTTGAGGCAAAATTCTTGCCTAGCTGGGAACCTGTAAAACCAAACAAGTTATGTGCTTCCAAATACAATGGTAGAACAGGCATAAGATAGACATTCCCATTTTGAAAAGGAAAAATAGGAAAGAAAGAAGGGGTGATGATGGGCTGGGGGTCTAAAACTCAGCAAGATAAATTCCATTATATCTTGAGGAGTGAGAATAATCTTTTTTGGTTAAATACTCTGTCCTCTGGGCCCACTGGGCAGCAGTCCCACCTCCACAGCTCTGCTGGGTGGGAATTCACACGCCTGTGGCTCTGCTCCATGGTTCCAAGTGGTCCCACCTCTACAGCTTCTGGACATCTCTGTGTGACCTGTTGGGATGCAGGTGATGTTGGTCTTGGGTGTTGGTCTTGGCCTTTGAAATTGAGATGGAGGCATCTGTACTCTCTAAAGGCATGTACACTTTGGGCCTGTGGTGAGAGCAGCAGCCTCGATGATCTCTGAATTGCCTTCAAGGTTATTCTTCCCTTGTCTTGAATAATATTTGCAGCCAAACATCCCTGTGGTCTGGTCTTGTAGAATTTAAGAATTTTGACAGCTTTTTTTTTTTTATTTCATCCTGTTTTTTCTGTCCCCTTTAGTTCAAATGAACAGTGTCTTTGCTGGTATGACCCCATCTCTATTCCTGGCCCCTGTTGAGGTGGCTGATTAGGTTAGTGGTTCATACCCATGCTAATCTCCCTATGGAAAGTTCAATCAGCCACCTGCTTGGTGTTCTTTTCTGAACACACTTTCTTACTTTTTGTTATATGAACAAGCTGAGAATTTTCCAAATTTTTAAGTTCTGGTTTCTTTTTGTTTAACAATTCTGTCTTCAAGAAATTTCTCTCTTCTCACATTTTGTAATAAACAGTCAGGAGGAGTCAGACTGCTCTTTCAACACTTTGCTAAGAAATCTCAGCTAAATTTCGAATTTTATCTCTTTCTGCTTTCCACAAAACATTAGAACACATACACAATTCACCCAAACTCTTTGCCACTTTATAACAAGGATCTCCTTTTCTCCATTGTCCAATAACGTGCTTCTCATTTTTATCAAGATCCCAAAAGTATGGCCTTAACTGTTCATATTTCTATCCACATTCTGTATATGATTATTTATGTATTATCTAAGAAGATGGAAGCTTTCTCTACATCTCTACTCTTTTCTCTCTGAGCCCTCACCAGAATTACCTTTAAAAGTCCTTTCACAGCAATATTGGCTTTTTCTTGCATGCATCTCAAAACTCTTCCAGCCTCTACCCTATACCAAGTTCCAAAACTGCCTCCACATTTTTGGGTATTTGCTGTAGCACCACTCCACTTCTCAGTACCAATATCAGTATTTGTCAGGGTTCTTTGGAGAAACAGATCCAATAGAAGTGCGTGTGTGTGTGTTTGTGTGTGTGCATGTGTGTGTGTATTCACATATATTTGTTCACATTTACCCTCAGTGATTATGGAGGCTGATAAATCCCACAATCTATTCTCTGCAAGCTGGTGACCCAGGAAGGCTGATGCTGTAGCTAGAAGCCCTGAGAGATGGAAAGCCAATGGTATAGATTCTAGTTTGAGTCTGAAGACCTGAGAACCATGAGTGCCAAGGGCAGGAGAAGATTCAAGCCCCAACTCAAGCACTAGGGTGACAGAGCCAGAGTCAAGAGCCAGAGCAAATTATCCCTTCATTTGCCTTTTTGTTCTGCTTAGGCTTTCAACAGATTGGATGATGCCCACCTGTATTTAGGAGGGCAAACTGCTACTCAGTCTATCAATTCAAATCTAATGTTATGTGAAAATATCCCCTCAGACACACCCAGAAATAATGTTTAACCAGATATCTGAGCATTCCATGATCCAGTCAAGTTGAAATATAAAGTTAACTCTTAGAAGTCCACTTCTTGTTAACTTGGCACTCATATGCATCCCTTAAATCATACTTAGTCTCCAAATAGGCAATAATAAGGTCATAATTCCACATAACACGATACAACTATCCTGCATGCAACAGAAAACACATGAACTCCTTCCCCAAAAGAGGAGATAAAGTCTTTGATTTATGTTTACACTTATTCACATCCAGTAACTTAACTACTATAATGCAATATTAACAATATATCCTATATATTTTGTTTTCTGGAGAACTTTGACTAATACAGATTACATCTGGAACAGTAGCTATAATTGAAGTAAAAAACTTACTAAGTTTAGAATAATCCACTGTAATTATTCCAGATCCATCTATCTTCCACACAGATTAAATAGGCAAAGTACATGGTACAATGATAAGGTAGATCTTCTAAGATTTTGTTGATGGCCTTAATCTTGGCACTCTAGTAGGAATTGGAACTATTTTTGGCTACCTATTATTACATGGAAGAGAGCTGTAGGAACTTCCCTTTGGTCCTTCTCCGATAAACCTCTCATTCCGCAGGCATTCTGAGAATATTATTCCTACTATGAACTCAGGAACTGGGAGAATAACTAAATTGGGTTAATGTATCCAATGAACCCACTGTTAGAAGGCTCAGGCATAAACTCTATTTATCAGTTTCAGTCCAACCTTTGGTCCACAATTAGTCCTCAGGAATTCACAATAATTCGCAATAACTCAGTCCAATGCACTGCAAGGGTCTGTGTATCTTCCTTTTTCCACTGCATAGTATAATGTTTGAAGCCAAAGTTTCCTTTGGGGAACAATAGAGGTAATACTTGCAATACATAACTGTGGATATAATTGTAGTCTTCTTCATCAAGTGTACTGGGTTTCTCTTTTATTCAAAGGATTCCGGGTCTGTAAACAGAATTAGGCCACAGAATTGGGTCATAACCTTTATCTTCTGTCATGCTAATTCAAGTTGAGCTTCTAATACCAGATGTGCAATTTTTCAATGATACAGATCAAGTTGGATCTTAATGAACTATCTTAAGAACCCCATGATCAATTGGTCATTGCTAGAGTTCAATGGATCCAACCATTCTGATCATCTCCTCAGTCATGGTGCCTGCCATGATTTAAATGTGTCCCCAAAAGTTCATGTGTCGGACACTCAATCCCCAAAGCTACAGTGTTGGGAGGTGAAACTTGATAAGTGGCGATTAGGACATGAGGACTCTGCCCTCATGAATGAATTAATGTCATGATTGGGCGTAGGTTAGTTATCATGAGAATGGACTTGTAAAAGTAAGATTGGCCCCCCCTTGCTCTCTTGCTCTTGCACTCTCTTACCCTCTGCCTTCCACTGTGGGATGATGCAACATTAAAACCCTGACCAGATGCCAGCACCATGCTCTTGGACTTTCCAGCCTCCAGAATCACCAGCCAAATAAACTTCTATTGTTTATAAGTAACCCAGTCTCGTGTATTCTGTTACAGTAACACAAAATAGATGAAGACAGTGACTATTATTGTAGTCATGCCCATTTTGCTTCCGCTTGTTCTGAATCAGAAAGTCCATTTTAATGGCAGCATCTTGAATTCTCACATTTAGCTTACAGAGTGCAGTCACTGAAGTGTTTCTTAAGAGTCCTGCCACTCCTTTCATCAGTGCGTTTCTCAATGATTTGCTAAACAGAATGTTTTTGAACCCTCTCAAAAGTGGGTGAGTGAACGAAGTATAATAAATTTGCTCAAACATGCCTTTATCTCTATCTTTGGAGTCTTCCTTCTACATTATACTAACGAATTACATGACTATCAACTTTATTTATAATAGGCCACCACTGAGTCAAGATTTCTATCAGCTATTTGGAACCACTCTCATCTGCTTGAGTGAGCCCATTGACTTTAGAATCTCTGGTAAATAAACTAATAGCATGAAACTCAGCCTTATTCAGAATTATGTTATTCCCTCTGTGATGTATGATCTTATCACATATATTTTCCAGGTTTTTTTCTGACCTAATTTAGCATAAGCTTTCAGTTCTTTTAGTGCATCTCTTTTTTTTCCCCTGGTTTTTATTCTACAACTGATGCCTCAGGGCATGTTGAGATCTCACTCTAGTTTTAGTCTGGATCCTATGAGAGGTAGTACATTGAAGCAAAATTCTAATTGATATTCTTGGGAGAGTAAATATCTTATATGATGCAAAATTACAATTGATATTCTTGTGGGAGTAAATATCTTATAATATATCTGTATTGGTTATTCTAGGAGGCAGGGCCAGCTTCATCAGACAGGGAAAGAGGGGCTACTTCTGTTTACAATAAATGGTCAGATTTGGAAGGTTGGAGGTTCTCAGAATTATTCAGATCTTCCCCAAATGTCATGATTCTTGTTCTCAACATCCTATTTTTTCTCAAACATTTATCTAGCCTGTATTCAAGTCATCCAGTGAGGCTGTTTATTCAATCTATGTGAAATTTTGAGCAACCCACAGGATTAGAATTAGCATCTTATTTTTGTACCCACATTATTTTAGGTTAGTCATAGAAACCTTCTGATTTTCTGACTGTGCCTTGAATAGCAAACTTAAAACTGAACTTGTCGTTTTATTTTTTGAGATTGCCAGTGCAATTAAAAGTAGTCAGCTATTTTGGTTATATAGTGCTGTGTAACAAACTGCTCCAAAACTTAGTGGTTTAAAACAGTAACCAGTTCTTCTCTCACAATTTTGTGTATTGACTGGGCTTAGTGGTGACCACTGGTGCTACAATCATCTGAGGGTCAACAGAGGCTGAAATATTTAAGATAAATGACAAAAATGCCTGGGAATTGATAGTGGGTGTTGGTTAAGGGTTCAGGTGAGATTGTCAGCTAAGGATATCTCTGTTCTACTTCCTGTAGCGTCTCAACACGGTTGCTTGAGATTCCTGATAGCATGGTGGCTAGATCCCAAAAAGGAGTGCTCCAAGAAGTAAAGGTAGGTATTATAGATTTCTTAAGGCTTAACCTTTGAAGTTACAAATAATTAATCTTGTTATATTTCTATTCATTGGGTCAAGTAACAGGGATAGACCAGTTTCAAGGGAATGAGGGAATAGATGGGTGAGTGACAAATAACTTGTGATCATCTTTATTCCACCACACCAACCCACTTCATGTCTTTTCATTCCTTGTGCCTTGTAGTAGTCCATAGCAGCTGACACTTAGTCCTCCAAAACCTTACAAGAGTTTCATCTTCTAATGCTAACTGGATTTGTATTGGCTTCAAACTCAACATGTTCCTATAATCAATCTCTTATTCCCGATTTCTTGAAGATTGATTGTCTATAATAATTTATTGTATCACTTAATGTCCTTAATTGCAGGCAATACACTCTAACTAATTTAAGAAGTAAAGGATTTATTATAGGTTATTAAGAATTTCTAGGAGGGCCAGAGAAACAAGATTAAAGGCACACAGCTGGGAGCAAAGAACCCGAGTAAAAAAAGAATAACATAAGGCGGGATATTTTCAATAGAAACCTTGATGGTGTTATCTAACACTGAACACTCAGAAACTAAGGACCAAATACTAGAAATAGAATTATGGTTTTGGCAGAACTAAACATCTCTGTGATGAGTTTGTAGGAGGACTTTACAACTGTGGTCTCATGGATCTCACTTCTGCTTTTCAATTGACTACAAGTAGAACTTTAGCTTCAAGAATATCTTGAAAATATAATCTTGATTTTAGCCCCTATGGAAGGATTCACAACTTCAACACTATTGGCATTTTAGACCAAATACTTCCTTGTTGGGGGAGGTGAAGCATCTTGTGCATTGTAGGATGTTTAGCTGCATCCTTGGCCCCTACTACTAGATCCCAGTAGTGTCAACTCCTACCCTCCCCGACTGGTTGTGGCAATCAAAAGTGTTTTCAGTCATTGCCAAGTATCCTCTAGTTGAGAAGTACTACTCTAGGTTAACAAAAGCATGATAGGATAAATAGGAATGGGACCAGGTAAGATGTCACACTCTGCAAAATAGATTAATAGGGTGTTAGTGTAGTAGAAAAAGAAATTCCATGATATCTAAAAGATCAGAAATACATGCCAGTACCATGGGAAATTTCTTTTGATACAGGAATCTCTGGAGAGACCAATGTGGAAGACAGAGTGATTTTATGTTGTGTGACAGCAGATTATGAGAATGCAATTTTTCACCTAGCTCTAATCTTTACATTAAAACAAGTATTGCAGTGGGACATGAAATTGAGTTGGCCAGGTTTAAACTGGTCATTTCTGATACATTGGTTCATGCTGGTATATTTATTAAGCACTTACCATGAACTCAGTCCTACGAGAGACAAAAGAAAGTGGAAGACATGGGCCTGCTATTAACAACATTGTCAATTATTCATCATGACCTCCATTTGGTGAGAATTCAAGACATGCCAAGCATTGGTGGAACTTCTGTACATATATTACTTTATCAAATACTTGAAATAATACTGTAAGAGATGTACCCTCACTATCTCCATTTCATTCAGTAGTATATTGTGCCCACAGTCTCATAATTGAGCTAGACTTTGAAATCAAATCTATGTTCCTAACCTCTATGTTTGCTACATAAAGCAACCAAATGAGTCTATAGTCTCCTCAGTCACCAGGTGATGTCTTCATAGGTTCAAGTGCAGCAGAAAGAGGGAGGACTTCTTAACAACCCTATATTTCCCAATTGTTCCCACAAAATCCCAATAATGAGTTCTCTTGGACTAATTTAGGTCCCTCCTTAAATAAACCACTGGGGGTCAAATTACAGTGTTTGACCTGGTCCAGTGGTAAGCTGAATCTCTACCCACACCCAGCGTCAATGAGACTGAATAAGGTAGCATGTATTGGAGCTAGTCAGCATCCCACCTCCACTTCTCCCAACTCCCAATGTCCACAAGGCTCAGTGGAGAGCTGAATCCCCACACCCACCTGCAACAAGAAGACTGAATGAGGCAGTGTGAGGCAGGGCCAGTCAGCACTCTGGTTTCTGCTCCCCTTTTATGGGTCTTCACCCCCAATTGTCATCAATATGATGGAATGGAGTGGTAGACCATGGAGCTAATTGACATTTCACTCCTCACAGTTCCCCAGTAACCAGCAAGAAGCAGAACTTCCATTCTTATGCTGTAACAACAAAGTGGCACTTCAACCATCTGTCTCCTTCCCCTCTGTGTCAGTGGGGCCCAACAGGGATCTGAGCTTACACTTCAACTTAAAAGCAGTAAGTTGATTTGAATTGGAGCCTTATTTTTGCCAGGGACATGTCAGTGGGTTGAGGACAAAACTGAACTTTTACCCCATCTGTCTTCAGTGAGGTAGTATTAATCATTTCTTCATTTTTGGGGTGGTGTTGAAGGAAGGAACCCAGGGGAAAGCTGAACACGTTCACCTAGCCCTTGCACTACACTGCCATGAGAGGTCTTCCTTAAAATAGAAGAGTAAATAGAATCTAGAGCCTCATAATATAATATCAAAAATGTCCAAGACATAATACAAATTACTCATCACACCAAGAAACAGGAAAAACACAACTTGAAGGAGAAAAGACAATCAATAGATATTAATATCAAGATGAATTAGGTGCTGGAATTATCTGATAAGGATTTTTGAGCAGCCATCTTAAAATGCTTTAGCAGGCAATTATGAATTCTCTTGAAACAAATAAACAAGTAGAAAATCTCAGCAAAGAAATTAGAAGTTATAAAAAGGGCAAAATGGAAATTATAGGACTGAAAAATACGGTAATGAAAGGCTCACTAGATGGGCTCAATGGTATTGCAGAGAAATGATAAGGGATAGACTCTGTAAACTTAAGGATAGATCAATAAAGTTTACCCAGTCTAAACAACAGAAAGAAAATAGAATGAAATAAAAATGAACAAAGTCTCAGGGCCTGTGGAGTAATAATAAAAAAGTGGACATTTATATCATTGGAGTACCAGAAGGAGAGGAAAGAGAGTAGTACTGAAGAAGTATTTGAGGAAAAATAATGGCTTAAAACTGTCTAAATTTGGTAAAAATCATAAAACTACACATTCAAGAAGCTGGGATAACCCCAAACAGAATAAGTACAAACAGGTCCACACCAACACATATCATAATTAAGCTTCTGAAAAGTAAAGACAAAGAAAAAATCTTTAAAGCAACCACAGAGACAAGGCATTATTTATAGGGGCACACCAATTCAAATAACAGTAAACTTCTCATTTGAAACAATGGAAGCTAGAATTAAGTGATGCAATATTGTTCAAGTGTTGAAATAAATGAACCGTTGACCATGAATTCTATATCTAGCAAACTATGTGGATTTGCTGTGGGGATGCACAGATGGGTGAAGGTTATGCACAGAAAGTGTTATTCACAGAAGGGGGTAAGGCTACTGAAACAACACACGTCATCTTACAATGTAAGTGCTAAAACTATTTTCCAACTAAAATCAACTAAAATATTTTTTCTTTTTTATTTTTGCAATTATGACTGTTTATGTTTTAGAAAGACTTTTGGATGTCTTTCATCACTGACAAATCTCAAAACATTTACCATTACATGTTTCTCTTCCCAGCGTGTGAAATTACCTGCTTCGCTACAAGTAGGGAATAGTTTCTGTCCCAGGCAGAGTAAGCAAGACTGAATGAGGACTGAGTGTGTGTCTCTTTGGGGCATTATATCAGGCATTTTGGAGATGAAATCCTTGAACTGTCTTTGGCCACCATGGATTGCCTGAGCAAACTAAATTTCTGTGAAAAAGAGACTGAATTGAGTTGGATCAGATATTCATAATGATGGCACTGAATTCTTATCAACATTAGACCTTTACCATTCAATGGAAGTAAGCAATTGGTTATTGAAAGACACATAAAAATACTGGTTCTTCTGATCCTGCAATGCAAAGCCTTAACAGTTAGGACCTAAGAGGAGGAAGGGAGGGCCTCAGAAAACAGAGGTGAGAAAGAAAGTCAGAAGCATTAATAGGCAGGGAAAACCGGGAGCTTTGCCATTTCAGCATAGATCAAAAGGCTCCATTTATGTCTGGATTCTGTTTCTTGAAGTTTCTAAGCACCCTTAATCATTCCAAGTTTTATTTAATAATCTTTATCTCATTTAATATTCATCGTATTCCTAAACTGATTAGCCATATATGTTTATACCCATTCCACAGATGAGACAATCCTTATACAGCTTTTACATGGTAGAGCTAATTGGCATCTAAAACTTGAAGCTATTTTAGTATCCTACCTACTCTACTACAGACCTTCGCTATACATGTACATCTCCATATGACTTAAATAGCCCATCCCTACATCGTGGTTCTTAGCCAGCAAAGGGACCCCAAATAAACTTTGTGACTCATTGAGGAGGAGGTAGTTCTGTCATGACTAAATGGATCTTGCAAAGAATCATTGAAAAGAGATCCTTTTCACTCGGGAAACCACAGCTTGAAGGCTCAAAGCTGTGAAAGATAAATTAACCTTCCCTCGGACTTCATCCAACCTGCCAAGCAAACCAGAAATAATTATTTTATGTGGGATGCTTATTGCCGTTCATGTGGCAGGGACTTGATTTCACCATTTAGCAGACCCATCTGTTCCTTCCTTGGCAGGCGCTTATCATATCTCACCTGGGGACCTTGCACTCTCGGGTCTTGATTGCAGGGCATATCTGGGGCTAAGGTGTGGGGTATAGGGAAAGAGAAAAAACCTAGCTTCCCTCCACAATCTAGCTGGAAACATAAGAATAAATGTGAAATGATAAATTCCCTTAAAAGGTATGTTAGTGCCCAGAGTTGATTCAGTAGTATATACTCTAAAAATTAGCAACAAGTCACCTTGGTCACAGCACAGGCCCTGGTTCTATTACCTGTTATCTCTGTGATTTGGGGAAAGTTATATAACCTCTACATGCCTCCATTTTCTCAATTTAAAACGGACATAATAACAGTTATCTCACTGAGTATTAAATGAAAATGGTCTCAAGTGCTTAGTATATAGTAAGTATTCAGTATATGTCAGCTATCCTAACAAAGCATTCAGAGGAGGGAGAGTCGTAGGGCTGGTCAAGACAGGTGTTTTTTGGATTGGAACCACTGCTTTGCTTTTTCTGCTCTGCTCCCACAGCATTGTACTGCTGTGTTAGCCTCACTGGTCACAATTGATTGGTCTAAGCATGGTTATCTGACCAAAGGGTAGCCAATCATAGTTCTTCCCCAGGAAATGTGGGGAATAACCGGGAAAACTGAGAAGACCATCAGGCCCCAGGGGTTGAGATTGGAAAAAGTAAAACTTGGGGAAGACGGCAGCTGAGTTTTCCACCACGTGGTCAAGGGAAGGCAGAATGGGGAGGGTTTCGAAACCCAGATAGGTTTGTTGGCTCTTCACTTGGTAAACAAAGGGTCATTGGTGGAAGTTCTGGAGCAGGGGCATGACATCTTAAAATCAGAGTTTGAGTTAGGACTGGATCTCTTACTCTACCTGAAAATTCTATTTTCTAGAAAACAGTTGCTTTTAAATGATGCTGAAAGTTAGCACTGACTGTAGATGCTGCACAAAGTTTATATTCATGGTTTAGTAACATTATAATCTCTGGCTTTTACCATGTTGACAATATTTTTCTTCTATAGGGAAGTTTCTGCAGTCCTGGCTGTGCCTTAACTACCTTTCTGATTGCACCAATCTAATTTTTCAGACTAGACAATTACCTCTCATTCCTCATGGGGAGAAGTTGCCAATAATTTCTATTTAGAGCAGGAGCCATTTGGTGTCAGGTACCACGTGGCAGCAAGAAATGATGAGCACATATGAATCATCACTTAAGTTCTTGCTGAGACGGTTTTGTTGTCATGATGAGGAATACACATTAAAAAACACCCTTACATCTTCATAAGCAACAAACCAGTTGTGACAAATGACATGCCACTGTGTTCCTGGAACTCCAGTTTCTGACAGAGACTATAAAGAGATAGAAACCATTCTTCTGTCTTTACATGCTTGGTAGGCTGGATGTTGGATCACTCTTGGCTTTGACACTATTTATCTACCTCATAATAATGTTGAGAGGATTAGATGACAGAAGTATCAGTAAAGAGCTTGACAGAGGGTGAATGCTTGACAAATGATAGGAATTAGTATTTTTTAGTGATAGCTCTCTAGAATTTGTTAATTTTGTCTCTTCATCTAGATTACAAATCTTAAGAAGGGATATATGTTGGCATCTTGTGAAGTCTCGGATTATTTATTCTGTACCCTTTATTTTATTTCTTCTCTTTTGTGTTTGTAAGCTCTCTCTGTGTGTGTGTAGCATATACAGGTCGATGAATTTTAACATGTGCATGGATTCTCATAACCACTCCCACAGCCAGGATTCCATCATGCCCCAAGAGCTCCGTTGTGATACTCTTTTGCAGTCAAATCTTTTTTTTTTTTTTTTTTTTTTTGAGACGGAGTCTCGCTGTGTCTCCCAGGTTGGAGTGCAGTGGCGCGATCTCGGCTCACTGCAAGCTCCGCCTCCCAGGTTCATGCCATTCTCCTGCCTCAGCCTCCCAAGTAGCTGGGACTACAGGCGCCCGCCAACACGCCCGGCTAATTTTTTGTATTTTTAGTAGAAACGGGGTTTCACCGTGTTAGCCAAGATGGTCTCAATCTCCTGACCTCGTGATCCGCCCGTCTCGGCCTCCCAAAGTGCTAGGATTACAGGCGTGAGCCACCGCGCCCGGCCTGCAGTCAAATCTTTTATCCACCTTTGGCAACTGCTGATCTGTTCTCCATCCCTACACTTTGTCTTTTTCAGAATGTCATGTAAATGGAAAAATAAATCTAATGTTTTGAGACTTTTTTTCACTCTTCATTAATGTCATCGTAATCCATCCATATTGCTGCATTTATCAATAAAGCATTCCTTTTCTGTGACTGAGTGGTATGCCATCATATGGATGTACCAAAGTTTATGTTTGACAATTAAACAACATTTGCATTGTTTTAGCTTTTAGTGATTACAAATAAATTGTCTATGAGCATTTACATGGCCAGCCTTTACGGGGACATATGCTTTCATTTCTTGGTGTGTGTGTGTGGCAGGGTGGGGGATGGTAAATACTTAAAGTAGAAGGGCTGGGTCATATAAGTCTGTATTTAACTTTATAAGAAACCATCAGAATGTTTCCCAGAGTGGCAATACCATGTTGCATTCCCACCAGTAATGCATGAGAGTTCCATTTGCTCCACATCCTTACCAGTACTTGGCGTTGCCAGTTACATCTTATTTTTAGCCATTCTTCTAGGTATATAGTGGTATCTCATAGCTTCTGCCCATTTTTGAAAATGGAGAAATAATTCATATACCATAAAACTCACCATTTTGAAGTGTACAACTTAGTGGAATTTTTTTAGCTTATGCATAAAGTTGTGCAACTATCACCACTAATTTCAGAGCACATTCATCACACCAAAAAGAAACTCTATACTCATTACTGGTTATTCCCCATTCTCCCCTTCCCAGCATCCCCTGGAAACCACTGATACAATTTCTATGCCTATTTGCCTATTCTGATATTCCATATAAATAGAATCACACGTATGTGGTCTTCTGTGACTGGCTTCTTTCACTTAGCATTAAAATTTTAATGTTCATTCATGTCACAGCACATACGGATATTTCATTTCCTTTTCTAGCTGGGTAACATTCCATTATATGAATATAACATACCTTGTATATTCATTCATCAGTTGATGGGTGTTTGGGATGTTTCCACTTTTTGGCTATTATGAATAATGCTGCTATGACCACTCATGTACAAGGCTTTGTATGGATATATTTTTTCAATTCTTTTGGATGGAATTCTTTAGTAGTAGAATTTCTAAGTCATATGAAAACTCTATGTTGACCATCATGAGGAATTGATAAAATGGAAGTGACAAGTGGTAAGACTAGACATCCTTGCCTGTTCCTGATCTTGCAAGGAAAGCTTTCGGTCTTTCACCATTAAGTATGATAACTGTGGGCCTTCTTACAGTGGATGCACCATTTTACATTCCCATGAAAAATGTATAAGGCTTCCAATTTCTCCACATCCTTGCTGAAACTTGTTGTTTATCTTTTTGATTATAACAATACTAGTGGGCATGAAGTGGTGTTTCATGGTGGCTTTGATTTGTACTTTCCTAATGACTAATGATGTTGAATATTTTTTTCATGTGCTTATTGGTTATTTGCATATCTCCTTTGATGAAATGTCTACTTAAATTCTTTGCCAATTTTTAAATTGGGTTACTTGTCTTTATATTGTTGAGTTGTAAGGGTTTTTTATGTATACTAGAGGCTAATCTCTTATCAGATATAAGATTTGCAAAAATTTTCCTCCATTCTGCAGGTGTTTTTCAGTGTCTTGATGATGTCCTTTAACAATAAAGTTTTTAATTTTGATGATGTCCAATTTACTTTTTTTCTTTTGTTGCTTATGCTTTTGGTGTCATATTTAAGAAATCATTGCCTAATCCAATGTCACAAAAATTTGTCCTTATATTTTCTTCTAAGTGTTTTATAGTTTTTGCTCTTGCATTTAGGTCTAAAATCCATTTTGAGCTAGTTTTTGTATGTGATATGAGGAAAGGATTCAATTTTATTCCTTTGCATGTGGTCAGGCAGTTGTTCCAGCACCTTTTGTTGAAAAGACTATATTCTACTTACTGGATTATCTTGGCACCTTTGTCGAAAATCATTGCCCATAAGTTTATGGGTTTATTTCTGGACTCTCATCTATTTCATTGATCTGTAGCCTATCCTTATAGAAGTCTCACAAAATCATAATTACACTAGCTTTATAGTAAATTTTTGATTCTGGAAGTGTGAGTCCTACATCTTTGTTCTTCCTTTTCAATATTGTTTTGGCTCTTGACTCCCTTTCATTTTCATATGAATTTTAGAATCAACTTGTCCATTTATGCAAATGAGCCATCTGAGATTTTGGTAGGGATTGCACTGAATTTGTAGATCAATTTAGGGAGTGTTGACCATAATATTAAGTCTCCAATCTATGATTATAGGATGTCTTTCCATTTATTTAGATCTTTAATTCCTTTCAACAACACTTTATAGTTTTAGAGGTATGAGTGTTGCACTTCTTTCATGAAATTTATTCCTAATAATTTTATTCATTGTAATGCTATTATAAATGAAATAGTTTCCCTAATTTTATTTTCAATTCATTGCTGGTGTATAGGAATACACTTAATTTTTGTAAATTTATCTGATATTTTGCAAACTGCTGAACTCATGTATTAGTGCTAATGATTTTTTTTTGGCGTGGTATGTCATCAGCAAATAGAGACTATTACTTCATCCTTGTCAATCTGGACGTTGTTCATTTGTTCTTTGCCTAGTTGTCCTGACTGAAACTTCCAGTGCAATGTTGAATCAAAGTGGTAAGACTAGACATTCTTGCCTGTTCTTGATCTTGTAAGGAAAGCTTTTGGTTTTTCACAATTAAGTATGATAACCATGGGTTTTTCATGAATGCCTTTTGTCATGTTAAGGGAGCTCCCTTCTATTTGTAATTTTCTGAGTTTCTTACATGAAAGTTTATGAGTTATGAGTTTTGGTAAGCAAAATGCCATAATGCTTTCCAATCTAAGTTTACTTTTTTTCCCCATGAAACCCTCCCCTAGTTGCTCCAATTTTATGTATGTATGTATGTATGTATGTATGTATGCATGTATGTATGTATGTATGTATGTATGTATTTATTTATTTATTTATTTTTGAGACAGGTTCTCACTCTGTTGCCCAGGCTGGAGTGCAGTGACACAATCATGGCTCCCTGCAGCCTTGACCTCCTGGGCTCAAGCCATCCCCCCACCTCAGCCTCCTGAGTAACTGGGACTGCAGGCATCCACCATCATGATGGGCTAATTTTTAATTTTTAAAATACAGACAGGGTCGCATTATGCTGCCCAGGCTAGATTCAAACTCCTGGGCTTAAGCAATCCTCCTGCCTTGGCCTCCCAAAGTGCTGAGATTACAGATGTGAATCACTGGTGACCTCTAAATTTTTAAATTAGATCCCAGAATTGTGAAAAAGCTGATTCTGTAATCTTATGTCATCTTACTTGTTGCTCAGTGAAGGAACTGATTCTTCATGCTCCCGACCCCATCTCTATGATGTCACTCAACAGTGTCTTTTGCAGAGGAAAAGTTCATAGTTTTGAAGAAATCTAATATATCAAGATTTTATTTTACAAATTATGCTTTTTGGTATCATGTCTAAGAACTCTACCAATACCTCAACTATAAAGATTCTCTATGTTCTTCTAAGAGTTTTATAGTTATGTATTTTTCATTTGAATCTAGACCCATATTTAGTTACGTTTTTGTATAAGGTGTGAGGTTTAGGTTGACATTAATTTTTGGTTGGATATTCAGTTGTTCCAACAGTATTTGTTAGAAAGTATCTTTCCTCTGCTGAATTGCCTTTCTATCTTTGTTTAAAATCAATTGGCCATATTTGTCTGAGTTTACTTATAGGCTCTGTATTCTTTACCATTTTCCTATAAGCATATCCCTTTACCCCATACCACACTGTTTTGATTACTCTAGATTTTTAGCAGTGTTAAAATTGAATAGTGTAAATCCTCTCATTTTATTTATTTTTAAGTAATATTCTATTTTAATTGTTTTGCCTTTCTGTATAAATTTTATAATTAGCATATGTGTATCTGCCAAAAAATCCTGACAGGGTTTTGGTTGGAATGGAATCAAATCTATAGATCAGTTTGGTGACAATTTATATCTTAACTGTATTGAGTGTTCTAATCCATGGATATAATCTGTCTCTGCATTTACCTAGAACTTTGATTTATTTCACAAGAATTTTGTAATTCTCAGTATATGGAGTCTGTATACACTTTGTTAGATAGAGACCTAAATATTTCATATTTTGAAACTATTTTAAATGGCATTACTTTTCAAATTTCAGGTTCTAATTTTTCATTGATAATACATAGAAATTTGATATATTTTTGTAGATTAACCTTTTATCCTTACTGAACTCTCAAAGAACCTTTTTTTCTGGATTCACTACTCTTTATTTTTCATAGACAAACATGTCTGTGAATGGGGACGGTTTAATTTCTTTCTCTCCAATTTGTGTGCCTTTTATGTATTTTGCTTAACTTATTGCATTGAGTAGGATTCCCACTATAATGGTAAATAGGAGTGGTGAGAGTGGGCATCCTTGGCTTCTTCCTGATCTTGGGGAAAAATAGCTTTCAGTATTTTCTTTTTTATGTGGTCAGCAGTGTTTTTTTCTTTTTTCTTTTTTTTGGGGTGCCCATTATCAATTAATAAAGTTTTTTTCTAGTCCCCAGTTTGATGAGAGTTTTCATGTTAAATAAATGCTGGTTTTTCTGCTTTTTTCACACAAATTTATATATCTAGGTGTTTTTTCTTCTTTAGTCTATTATATGATGGATTTTTAAAAATTATTTTTATATGTTGAACCAGGCTTACATTCCTGGGATTAACCCTATTTGATCATGTTGTATTATTCTTTTTTTATGTTACTAAATTTGATTTGCTAACATTTTGTTAAGAATTTTTGCTATGTTCATGATGTATATTTGTCTGTAGTTTTCTTTAGCCGACTTTGTCTGGCTTTAGTATGAGAGTAATTCTAGCCTCATAAATGAGTCTGAGAGCTTCCTTTTTTTTTCTGGTAAAGATTGTTTAGTATTGGAAATATTTTTCTTCAAATCCTTGGCTGAATTTATCAGGAATCTGGACCTGTATTTTTCTTTCTAAGAAAATTGTGAATGAGGAATTTAATTTTTAATAGACAGAATACTAGTCAAGTTATCTATTTCTTCTTGAGTGAGTTAAGGTAGTATGGGGCTTCAAAATAAATTGCCCATTTCATTTAAATTGTCAAATTTATGTGCATAGAGTTATTTGTGGTATTTATCTAATATTCTTTTAATGTCTGTGGTTCTGTTGTGATAATCCATCTTTCGTTCCTGACTTTGGGAATTTATGTCTTCTTTTTTCTTTGCCAATATTATTAGAGATTTATCAATTTTAAAGAACTTCAACTTTTTTTTCTATTAGTTTCTTGTTTCAGTTTCATTAATTTCCATTTTTATCTTTGTTATTTTTTGCTTTGATTTTATTTTGTTCTTCTTTTTTGAATTTCATATGGTGGAGGCATAGACTATTGACTTGAGACTTTTCTTATTTTCTAACACAAGCACTAAAATGTTCTGTTTATTTCTTCTATTTTTGTTTCTCTGTTTTCCTTTCTTGCCTTTTTTGGATTATTGAAATATCTTTCATATGCCATTTTTAATTTACCTATTAAGCTTTTTATAATCTCTTTGTATAATCTCTTAGTGGTTATTTGAGAGGTTAAAATGTAAACACTGCACTTTTTTTCTTTATTTCTTCTTAAAAAAAAACAAGATACATGTGCAGAACGTGCAGGTTCGTTACATAGGTAAACGGAACACTTCACTTTTTATAGATTACTCAGAATTAATATTTTCCCACTTCAAGTAGGATGTATAAACCTTAGCATCATAAAGAACATGTTATTCCATTTATTTTTTAGTTTTCATATGTGCTACATCTATATACACTGAAAATGTCATAAACTTTATAATTTTTGCTTTCAACTTTCATATCTATTTTTAAGAACTTAAGAGGAAAAATATCTATTCCATGTACCCATATGTTTACCATTTCTGTTGTTCTTTCCCCATTCCTGGTCTTTTATGTTTCCCTCTGGGATCAGTTTCTTTCAGTCTGAAGAACTTCCTTTAGTATTTCTTAAAGAGCTGGTCTTCTGGAGATGAACTCTCTTAGTTTTCCTTCGCCTCAGAATGTCATCACTTCATGTTTATTTCTAAAAATATCACTGAATATCAAATTCTGGGTTGACAATTCTCGGTTTTTAGCACTTTAAATGTGTTGTTCCACTGTCTTCCAGCTTCCCTGAGAAGTCTGCAGCCATTCAAATCATTTTTCTTCTTTATGCAATGCCCTGTTTCTCTCTGGCTGCTTTCAAAATGTTTTCTTTGTCATTAATTTTTGGCATGTTGATTTTGATGTATCTGAGTGTGGATTTCTTAAATTTCACACCGTTTGGTGTTTGCTGAGCTTCTTGAATCTATTCTTTTATCTTTTTAACCAAATTTGAGGAGTGAGCCTTTATAATTTTTTTTTCTTTGCCACATTCTTTATCAACTCGTTGTGGGATTCCGATGACATGAATACTAGACCTTTTGACATTATTCTATAGATCTCTGTAAATCTGTTTACCTGTTCTTCCCCCAATCTCATTTCTCACTGCTATTGAGATTTAATATTTCTATTGATCTATCTGTAAGTTCACCAACTCTTTCTTCTGTCATCTTCATTGGTTATTAAGCCCATCAACTAAATCTTTTGATTCCAGTTATTGTGGTTTATTAGCTCTAATATTTCTATTTGCTTTTAGAAATCTTTTCTATATTTTATCTACTGAAATTTTCTATCTTTTTCATTTTTAGAAGATGATTCACCTCAGACCAGCCTGGGCAACACGATTCACCATTACCTTTGGGGGCATGTTTAAAAGAGATGCTTTCATGTCCAAGTCTGGAAATCCCAGCATCTGTCCTGTCTTCAGGTTGGTGTGCTTTGTCTTTTTTCTTCCCAAATGTTGATATTGTTTTGGTTCTTTGTACCCTGGACTTTTTGAATGTTATCTTAGTCACTCTTGCTTTTATTAAATTATATGAAGGATGCTATTTATTTATTTGTTTGTTTTAGCAGGCATCCAACTAGGTTTTGTTCAGGCTACACGTTTCTACGTGCCTCCTCTGAGCTCTTGTTTCAATGTTTGTTAGTCCAGTTTTCAAAGCCTTTGCAGTGCCATTTTTACCCACCCCATGCGAATGCCATGCGGTGCTAGTTTGAGGATGGAACAGTGGTCTACCATTCAGTTCAGTTCTTAAAGTCTTTGGTATGTTGTGTGAGATCAGATTCAGGTATGCATAGCTCAGGGTAAGCACAGGAGTTTATACAAAATGTTTTGGTACTATTCTCTGAAGTCTACTTTCTGTGATCTCCCAAATACTAACTGGGCCACAGGAATCCTCTTTCCTGGTTTTTGGACTTAAAAGCTGTGACTTAATTTCTTCTCTCTGCCATTCTCTTCCCACAATATGTCTGCTTCTGGGGCTAGGTGCAGGATAATATATAGAGAAAAAGAGCAGGGCCAATTAGCCTTACACCCTTGGTATCAGCCTCTCTAGTCTGAAAGAAGTGCTCCCTTCCAACTGAGTTTCAGGCACTTGTCCAGCTTCTGTTGCCACCACTACCACCACCACTGTCTAACTGCCCTGGTGGCTGGGCTGAAATAAAATTTTTTAAAAAAAACAAATAGAAAACAAATGGCATTTTCCTCACTATTTCTTATCCAAAGGACCTCCTCTTTTCCACTCCTTGGACCAGAAATAGAGATTTTTTTGGAATCCTTCCCATTTGCTCTTCATATGAAGTTCTGGATCTCACGATGCCTTCGACTCTGGGTCAGGAGGTACTACAGGGAGGAAATACGGGGAACTCATCACTAACCTAGTGGTACTCAGAGTCTGGTTTTCTGCCTTAACCCGCCTGCTGCCATTTAATTTTCAGAGTACTAGCTGCTCTGAGCATTTTGTTCAGGGTTTTTAGTTTTGTTGAGTGGGAGAGACAGAGTGGAATGTGCCTACTCCGTTTTGAACAAAACTTGAACTCTGTTCCTTATTTGTGAATTTGTGAAAGAGAAAAAAAATCTTTTGAGGCTTTAGTTAAGCTCTAGTGATTTTTTTAATTACATAGAGTGGTAATTAAGCACATGGGCTCTGGAGCCACATACATGGGTTCAAATCTTGATTTTACAACTGTCTATGTGTATAGCTTTTGGCAAGTTACCTGATCTCTTTGTCTCCAAGAGACATCTTTGAATAGAAGCTATTTCATAGGGCCCAGTGAGGGTAGCTCACGTCTGTATTCCTAGCACTTTGGGAAGCCAAGGTGGACGGATGGCTTGAGCTCAGGGTTTCAAGACTGGCCTCGGTGATGTGGTGAAGACCTGTCTGCCAAAAATACAAAAATTAGTTGGGTGTAGTGGCATGCTACTCACAAGGCTGAGGAAGGAGGATTGCTTGAGCCCAGGAGGCAGAGGTCACAGTGAGCTGTGATTATGCCACTGCACTCCAGCCTGGGAGCCTAGGTGACAGACAGAGACTCCATCTCAAAAAAAACAAAAAAAGCCATTTCATAGGGTCGTACTATATGAAAATATAGATATATATTTTATATATAAAAAATATATATTATATATATCATATATACCATATATATTATATCTTATATCTTACATATACCATATATATCTTATATCTTACATATACCGTCTATAATATATCTTATATCTTACATATACTGTCTATAATATATCTTATATCTTACATATACCGTCTATAATATATCTTATATCTTACATATACCGTCTATAATATATCTTATATCTTACATATACCGTCTATAATATATCTTATATCTTACATATACCGTCTATAATATATCTTATATCTTACATATACCGTCTATAATATATCTTATATCTTACATATACCATCTATAATATATCTTATATCTTACATATACCGTCCATAATATATCTTATATATTACATATACATCCATAATATATCTTATATATTACATATACCGTCCATAATATATCTTTTATATTACATATACCGTCCATAATATATCTTATATATTACATATACCATCTATAATATATCTTATATATTACATATATGTCTATAATATATCTTATATATTTCATATACCATCTATAATATATCTTATATATTACATATACGTCTATAATATATCTTATATATTACATATACCATCTATAATATATCATATATTACATATACCATATATATCTTATATATTACATATACCATCTATAATATAACATATACCATATATAATATATCTTATATATTGCATATACCGTATATATCTTATATATTGCATATACCGTGTATAATATATCTTATATATTACATATACCGTGTATAATGTATCTTATATATTATATATACCATGTATAATGTATCTTATATATTATATATACCGTGTATAATGTATCTTATATATTATATATACCGTGTATAATGTATCTTATATATTATATATACTGTGTATAATGTATCTTATATATTATATATATCGTATATTATATATATATTTTATATATATATATATTTGTTTTGTTTTGTTTGTTTGTTTGAGACACCGTCTTGCTTCGTCACCCAGGCTGGAGTGCAGTCACTAGAACACAGCTCACTGCAACGAGTTAATATTTGTAAAGCATTAGAACCATGCCTGGCACACAGCAAGTGATACCTAAGTGTCTGTTATATAAACTGATGTTCATTGGCCCTATAGATTATAAATATCTTTAAGAAATAATTGATTCTTCTGCATTTCTTAGTTTCCTTGGTTTCCAACTTATCATCTGGTTTGTAGAAGGCCACAGAGTAGAGTTAATAGGCCATGGGCATTAGAATCAGGATGATCTGATTTTAAATCAAATCCACAATATGTAGCTTAATGTCAGTCACATATGCAGAGCAATATAAATGTTCCCTCCCCTTTAATTTAAAAGAAAATATACAATGCCTGAAAGCCATTATTCTTTTTTTTTATTATACTTTAGGGTACATGTGCACAACTTGCAGGTTTGTTACACATGTATACATGTGCCATGTTGGTGTGCTGCACCCATTAACTCGTCATTTACATTAGGTATATCTACTAATGCTATCCCTCCTCCCTCCCCCAACCCCACGACAGGCCCTGGAGTGTGATGTTCCCCTTCCTGTGTCCAAGTGTTTTCACTGTTCAATTCCCACCTATGAGTGAGAACATGCGGTGTTTGGTTTTTTGTCCTTGTTATAGTTTGCTGAGAATGATGGTTTCTAGCTTCATCCATGTCCCTACAAAGGACATGAACTCATCATTTTTTATGGCTGCATAGTATTCTATGGTGTGTATGTGCCACATTTTCTTAATCCAGTCTATCATTGATGGACATTTGGGTTGGTTCCAAGTCTTTGCTATTGTGAATAATGCCACAATAAACATACTTGTCTTTATAGCAGCATGATTTATAATCCTTTGGGTATATACCCAGTAATGGGATGGCTGGGTCAAATGGTATTTCTAGTTCTAGATCCTTGAGGAATTGCCACACTGTCTTCCACCATGGTTGAACTAGTTTACAGTTCCACCAACAGTGTAAAAGTGTTCCTATTTCTCCACATCCTCTGCAGCACCTGTGGTTTCCTGACTTTTTAATGATCGCCATTCTAACTGGTGTGAGATGGTATCTCATTGTGGTTTTGATTTGCATTTCTCTGATGGCCAGTGATGATGAGCATTTTTTCATGTGTCTGTTGGCTGCATAAATGTCTACTTTTGAGAAGTGTCTTTTATATCCTTCACCCACTTTTTGATGGGGTTGTTTTTCTCTTGTAAATTTGTTTGAGTTCTTTGTAGATTCTGGATATTAGCCCTTTGTCAGATGAGTAGATTGCAAAAATTTTCTCCCATTCTGTAGGTGGTCTGTTCACTCTGATGGTAGTTTCTTTTGCTGTGCACAAACTCTTTAATTTAATGAGATCCCATTTGTCAATTTTGGCTTTTGTTGCCATTGCTTTTGGTGTTTTAGACTGAAGTCCTTGCCCATGTGTATGTCCTGAATGGTGTTGCCTAGGTTTTCTTCTAGGGTTTTTATGGTTTTAGGTCTACTGTTTAAGTCTTTAATCCATCTTTAATTAATTTTGTCTAAGGTGTAATGAAAGGATCCAGTTTCAGCTTTCTACATATGGCTAGCCAGTTTTCCCAGCACCATTTAGTAAATAGGGAATCCTTTCCCCATTTCTTGTTTTTGTCAGTTTTGTCAAAGACCAGATGGCTGTAGATGTGTGGTATTATTTCTGAGGGCTCTGTTCTGTTCCACTGGTCTTTATGTCTGTTTTGGTACCAGTACCACGCTGTTTTGGTTACTGTAGTCTTGTAGTATAGTTTGAAGTCAGGTAGTGTGATGCCTCCAGCTTTGTTCTTTTGGCTTAGGATTGACTTGGCAATGTGGGCTCTTTTTTGGTTCCATACGAACTTTGAAGCAGTTTTTCTAATTCTGTGAAGAAAGTCGTTGGTAGCATGATGGGGATGGCATTGAATCTATAAATTACCTTGGGCAGTATGGCCATTTTCACGATATTGATTCTTCCCATCCATGAGCATGGAATGTTCTTCCATTTGTTTGTGTCCTTTTTCATTTCGTTGAGGAGTGGTTTGTAGTTCTACTTGAAGAGGTCCTTCACTTCCCTTGTAAGTTGGATTCCTAGGTATTTTATTCTTTTTGAAGCAATTGTGAATAGGAGATCACTCACGATTTGGCTCTCTGTTTGTCTGTTATTGGTGTATAAGAATGCTTGTGGTTTTTGCACGTTGATTTTGTATCCTGAGACTTTGCTGAATTTGCTTATCAGCTTAAGGAGATTTTGGGCTGAGACAATGGGGTATTCTAAATATACAATCATGTCATCTGCAAACAGGTACAATTTGACTTCCTCTTTTCCTAATTGAATACCCTTTATTTCTTTCTCCTGCCTGATTGCCCTGGCCAGAACTTCCAACACTATGTTGAATAGTTGTGGTGAGACAGGGCATCCCTGTCTTGTGCCAGTTTTCAAAGGGAATATTTCCAGTTTTTGCCCATTCAGTATGATATTGGCTATGGGATTGTCATAAATAGCTCTTATTATTTTGAGATTCGTCCCATCAATACCTAATTTTTTGAGCGTTTTTAGCATGGAGGGCTGTTGAATTTTGTTGAAGGCCTTTTCTGCATCTATTGAGATAATCATGTGGTTTTTGTCTTTGGTTCTCTTTATATGCTGGATTATGTTTATTGATTTACATATTTTGAACCAGCCTTGCATTCCAGGGATGAAGCCCACTTGATCATGGTGGATAAGCTTTTTGATGTGCTGCTGGATTCAGTTTGCCAGTATTTTATTGAGGATTTTTGCATTGATGTTCATCAGGGTTATTGGTCTAAAATTCTTTTTGTTGTTGTTGTGTCTCTGCCAGGCTTTGGTATCAGGATGATGCTGGCCTCATAAAATGAGTTAGGGAGGATTTCCTCTTTTTCTATTGATGGGAATAGTTTCAGAAGGAATGGTACCAGCTCCTCCTTGTACTTCTGGTAGAATTCGGCTGTGAATCCGTCTGGTCCTGGACTTTTTTTGGTTGGTAGGCTATTAATTATTACCTCAATTTCAGATCCTGTTATTGGTCTATTCAGAGATTCAACTTCTTCCTGGTTTAGTCTTGGGAGGGTGTATGTGTCGAGGAATTTATCCATTTCTTCTAGATTTTCTAGTTTATTTGCAGAGAGGTGTTTATAGTATTCTCTGATGGTAGTTTGTATTTGTGTGGGATTGGTGGTGATATCCCCTTTATCATTTTTTATTGCATCTATTTGATTCTTCTCTCTTTTCTCCTTTATTAGTCTTGCTAGCAGTCTATCGATTTTATTGATCTTTTCAAAACACCAGCTCCTGGATTATTAATTTTTTGAAGGGTTTTTTGTGTCTCTATCTCCTTCAGTTCTGCTTTGATCTTAGTTATCTCTTGCCTTCTGCTAGCTTTTGAATGTGTTTGCTCTTGCTTCTCTAGTTCTTTTAATTGTGATGTTACGGTGTCAATTTTAGATCTTTTCTGCTTTCTCTTGTGGGCATTTAGTGCTATAAATTTCCCTCGACACACTGCTTTAAATGTGTCCCAGAGATTCTGGTATGTTGTGACTTTGTTCTCACTGGTTTCAAAGAACATCTTTATTTCTGCCTTCATTTTGTTATGTACCCAGTAGTCATTCAGGAGCAGGTTGTTCAGTTTCCATGTAGTTGAGCGGTTTTGAGTGAGTTTCTTAATACTGAGTTCTAGTTTGATTGCACTGTGGTCTGAGAGACAGTTTGTTATAATTTCTGTTCTTTTACATTTGCTGAGGAGTGCTTTACTTCCAACTATGTGGTCAATTTTGGAATAAGTTCAATGTAGTGCTGAGAAGAATGTATATTCTGTTGACTTGGGGTGGAGAGTTCTGTAGATGTCTATTAGGTCTGCTTGGTGCAGAGCTGAGTTCAATTCCTGGGTATCCTTGTTAACTTTCTGTCTCGTTGATCTGTCGAATGTTGACAGTGGGGTGTTAAAGTCTCCCATTATTATTGTGTGGGAGTCTAAGTCTCTCTGCAGGTCTCTAAGGACTTGCTTTATGAATCTGGGTGTTCCTGTATTGGGTGCATTATATTTAGGATAGTTAGCTCTTCTTGTTGAATTGATCCCCTTACCATTATGTAATGGCCTTCTTTTTCTCTTTTGATCTTTGTTGGTTTAAAGTCTGTTTTATCAGAGACTAGAATTGCAACCCCTGCTTTTTTTGTTTTCCATTTGCTTGGTAGATCTTCCTCCATCCATTTATTTTAAGCCTGTGTGTGTCTCTGCACGTGAGATGGGTTTCCTGAATACAGCACACTGATGGGTCTTGACTCTTTATCCAATTTGCCAGTCTGTGTCTTTTAATTGGAGCATTTAGCCCATTTACATTTAAGGTTAATATTGTTATGTGTCAATTTGATCCTGTCATTATTATGTTAGCTGGTTATTTTGCTCGTTAGTGATGAAGTTTCTTCCTAGCATCAATGGTCTTTACAATTTGGCATGTTTGTGCAGTGGCTTGTACCGGTTTTTCCTTTCCATGTTTAGTGCTTCCTTCAGGAGCTCTTGTAGGGCAGGTCTGGTGGTGACAAAATCTGTCAGCCTTTGCTTGTCTGTAATGGATTTTATTTCTCCTTCACTTATGAAGCTTAGTTTGCCTGGATATGCAATTCTGGGTTGAAAATTCTTTTCTTTAATAATGTTGAATATTGGCCCCCACTCTCTTCTGGCTTGTAGAATTTCTGCCAAGAGAGCTGCTGTTAGTCTGATGGTCTTCCCTTTGTGGGTAACCCGACCTTTCTCTCTGGCTGCCCTTAACATTTTTTCCTTCATTTCAACTCTGGTGAATCTGACAATTATGTGTCTTAGAGTTGCTCTTCTAGAGGAGTATCTTTGTGGCGTTCCCTGTATTTCCTGAATTTGAATGTTGGCCTGCCTTGCTAGGTTGGGGAAGTTCTCCTGGATAATATCCTGCAGAGTGTTTTCCAACTTGGTTCCATTCTCCCCATCACTTTCAGGTACACCAACCAGACATAGATTTGGTCTTTTCACATAGTCCCGTATTTCTTGGAGATTTTTTTCATTTCTTTTTACTCTTTTTTCTCTAAACTTCTCTTCTCGCTTCATTTCATTCATTTTATCTTCAATCACTGATACCCTTTCTTCCAGTTGATTGAATCAGCTACTGAAGCTTGTGCATTCGTCATGTAGTTCTCGTGCCATGGTTTTCAGCTCCATCAGGTCATTTAAGGACTTCTCCACAATGTTTATTCTAGTTAGCCATTCGTCTAATCTTTTTTCAAGGTTTTTAGCTTCTTTGCAATGGTTTCGAACTTCTTCCTTTAGCTAGGAGAAGTTTGATCGTCTGAAGCCTTCTTCTCTCAATTCGTCAAAGTCATTCTCTGTCCAGCTTTGTTTCATTGCTGGCGAGGAGCTGCATTCCTTTGGAGGGGGAGGGGCACTCTGATTTTTAGAATTTTCGGCTTTTCTGCTCTGTTTTTTCCCCATCTTTGTGGCTTTATCTACCTTTGGTCTTTGATGATGGTGACATACAGATGGAGTTCTGGTGTGGATGTCCTTTCTGTTTGTTAGTTTTCCTTCTAACAGCCAGGACCCTCAGCTGCAGGTCTGTTGGAGTTTGCTGGAGCCACTCCAGGCCTTGTTTGCCTGGGTATCAGCAGCGGAGGCTGCAGAACAGCGAATATTGCTGAACAGCAAATGTTGCTGCTGCCTGATTGTTCCTCTGGAAGCTTCATCTCAGAGGGGTACCCAGCTGTGTGAGGTGTCAGTCTGCCCCTGCTGGGGGGTGCCTCCCAGTTAGGCTACTCGGGGGTCAGGGACCCACTTGAGGAGGCAGTCTGTCCGTTCTCAGATCTCAAACTCCATGCTGGGAGAACCACTACTCTCTTCAAAGCTGTCAGACAGTGACATTTAAGTCTGCAGAGGTTTCTGCTGCCTTTTGTTTGGCTATGCCCTGCCCTAAGAGGTGGAGTCTACAGAGGCAGGCACAACTTCTTGAGCTGCAGTGGGCTCCACCCAGTTCTAGCTTCCTAGCCGCTTTGTTTACCTACTCAAGCCTCAGCAAAGGCAGGCGCCCCTCCCCCAGCCTCGCTGCTGCCTTACAGTTCAATCTCAGACTGCTGTGCTAGCAATGAGCGAGGCTCCGTGGACATGGGACCCTCTGAGCCAGGCGCAGGATATTATCTCCTGGTGTGCCGTTTGCTAAGACTGTTGGAAAAGCATAGTATTAGGATGGGAGTGACCCGATTTTCCAGGTGCCATCCATTATGTCTTCCCTTGGCTAGGAAAGGGAATTCCCTGACCCCTTGCACTTCCTGGGTGAGGTGATGCCTTGCCCTGCTTTGGCTCATGCTCAGTGAGCTGCACCCAGTGTCCTGCCCCCACTGTCTGACAAGCCCCAGTGAGATGAACCCAGTACCTCAGTTGGAAATGCAGAAATCACCCATCTTCTGCGTCACTCACACTTGGAGCTGTACACTGGAGCTGTTCCTATTCAGCCATCTTGGAACCCCCATTATTCTTGATTATTACCCTAGTCCTCCTTCCTCATCCATTCATCCATCAATTTATTCTTTCATGTGCTTATTCATTAGTTCATTCATTTGTTCATTTACTCAAAATAGTTATGAAGTACGTATTTTGTGGCAGGCCATGTGCTGGGTGCTGGGGAAGTAACAGTAGCAAAATAGACATGATTCCTGCCGTCATGGAGCTTACATTAATCAAAGAATCACCTAAACATAAAATCACAAATATGATGGGTACATTGAAGAAAAAGTACATGGTATATGTTAGTGTGTATTGTGCTACTATAACCGAATACCACGGACTGAGTAATTTATAAGGAACTGAAATTTGTTTCTCACAGTTCTGGAGGCTGGGAAGTCAAAGTTTGAAGGACCTGCACTTGGTGAGGGCTTTCTGGTTGTGTTGTCCCATGGCAGAAGCCTGAACAAGAAAGAGTGACAAAAGGGGGCAGAACTTATCCTTTTGTGAGAAACCCACTCCTGGAGTAAGGTGTACTGCCAACCTATCAAAGACGAAAATCAGAAAGCTTTTTTGGCATCAACATCTAGAAGTATGATTGATGTAACATACACTGTGTAATGTTTTCTCCATACTTTCTGGGTATATTTTGTTTGTTTGGACAAATTACCTTCCTCTGGAAGCTAACCTAAAAATCTACAGGGATGAGTTTCTGTAGAAAGAATGAAACAGACCCACTGAAAGAGGGACAAATGGAAGATGGAGGGGGGTCCCCTACAATATTTGAAGCTTTGGATGTTATCAGTCTTGAAACTGCTTTCACTCCTCCCTTTTCCATGGTTTGGGCTTCCGGGGCTAAGTTGCTCTTTGTGCTTAAGCCAATTTGCAGCTGGAAGAGTCTTGTCTCATATGCTCTTTTGGGAAGTTCTCAGTGACCAAGTTTTGCTTTGTGTGCTAATTAATTTAACCCAAGGATAAGCTGAGGTCACTCTGCCCTTTGGATGTATATAAAATTTGGCACGAATTCCCATCCCACCTGCAGAGGGAAAGGGCAGTGTTTCTTCCTTGGGGATTCACGTTTGTGTTGTGGGGGAAAAGGAGCTAGAGCAGGGGGAGGGAGGGAGTGTGTGAAAATTCTCTGTCAAATTAGTGGAATTAGTGGACTCTAAAACATATTCAGTTCTCACATCTGGCTTCTGTTCTCTTTCTCTGCCTCCCAGATTAGGAATATAGCCCGCTTACCTTGCTTACCCCAAGCTGTTCCCACCAGGCTTTGGTGGGTTGAGCAGATTTTGCTCTAAGCCTGAGTGGCAGAGATGCTGACATTTTGAAATTGCAAACAACTTAAAAGTACATATTCAACATCAAATCTTTTAAAAACATGCCAGAATTTCCCAATCATTACTCTTCGCTGTATGCTCTGCCTTCCACCATGGTGTTCTCACCTTATCCCTTGCTGCTCTGTCCAGTTCTAAATTCCCATTAACTTTCTATGCAAAAAAGTTTGGCTGTCTTCTTATTTCATTGTTACCTTATAGAACCTTCCACCCAAAGAAGCCCAGAGACATGAACCACTTACATATACAGTGCACCCCATAAGCAAAGCTCCCTACCAGCTATCAAATGACAGGATTTCTTTTTTTTCACTCTACTATACTATTTGTTTTTACCTCTTTAACATCTTTACTTTTTATCATGAATTTTTACCCCTCCTTCCAAATGCAGCAAAACCCCCACCAAACCTTGGCATTGATTCCTAATGGTATGCTTTGCTTTCCTTGAGTAAATGGCTTTGAAAGAAGCATTTTCACTCATCTACTGAGATCTGGGGAGAGGCCCCAATACCCCTCAACTCAGTAATTCTAAGGTACAAAATTGGCATCAGCTCTGAGCAGTCTCTTTTGTGTCATGCAACTCTTCTCTTTTCCTCCCTTCCCCCATAGCCAATAAGAGCTTTGGCAAAAGAAAGAAAGGGGAAAAAAACCCTGACTGGATTCCAGCTCTTCTCTTGCCTTTTTCTCCCAGGTCTCATGTTACTTGAATGAGGGGCTCTCTACTGATTAAACCTTCTGTGTTCAGCTATTTAAGCTGACAGCTTCCCTTTTTTCTCCCTCCATGAGAAAGCTTTTGGGGGCTTAGACAGGCTACTTCTCCCCTGGCATGGAGGTAGCCTGGGACAATGCTCCCAATCAGGTGGGCTCAGAGGTATAGGATGACTCTGCCCCTAGCCCCATGGTGTCTGGTCCGGGCACCACTGTCCCTCTGCAGTCTACTCAGACAACTTCTCCGAGGAAACACCAATATGGGTGGGTGACCTTTTCTCCTTGACACAGCTTTATTCCCCCTTAAACACAGGTGAAGCAAATGCAGAAAGGGCAGAACAGTGAGATATGCCTTCTACAACACAAATCCATGGCTTCATAAATGTTAATAGTAGAGGGGATTTTCCTAACAGCTATAGCCCCAAGAAGAATGCTTGTAGAAGACAGAATAAGACTATAAATGCCCCCTTCACCTTTCCTTCTTCCCTTTAAATTGAAAACTCTTAAATGTAAGCATTATGCATTATTTTTACATTTCCTAGCTCATACATTTCACATGCCAGACCCTAAAAAACATTGAATTCAATATAAAAGGTGACAAAATCTCAGGTGTCACTAAAAATGTTAATCATAATAATTGTCATCATTAATAAATGTAATAATTATAAACATTGTTACTATTTAATGAACACTTAATTATGCTCCAGGTACTGTGTTAAGTGCTTCATGTTGAAAGTCTCATTGAATCCTCCCAATAATTCTGTGATTTAGATTTGTGCATTCTCTCCAGTTTATGGAGACAGAGAAGTTAAGCCATTTAAACCCAGAAAATTTGTGGTGGAGCTAGAATTTGAATGCAGACCACCTCTGGACTCTGTTCTGAGTCACATAATGTACTCATGCATGTTGTGAATGTATAAGGAAAGTAGTATTGACTCTTTGGTGCATATTTTGCAGTTGTTAAGGATGAATTCATATTTACACAAGAAAAGGCAAAGATAACTTTTCTTCTTTGTATGTTCTTTGTTTTGTGTTTTCCTGCAATCACATCAGGCTTCTTCTTATGATATTAGCTCATGCCATGCTGATGCCAGGTAGATTTATGGAGTTCAGATGCCCTGAGAGGTATCTTTGAAGCAAAACTGGAATCTTTGTGGCTCCTTGTCTCATCTTTAATATTGTATAAGTGTTTTAAGGAATAGAAAAGCCAGAGCTTTGTTGTATAATGCAGAAACGTGAAGCAGAGGGCTACAGAAAGATCCAGAAGTTGGATTTTTGAAGGAAACTGAAGGCTTGGTGATTCTTCACTGTAGAGGGAAAATTTGTAACTCTCTCATCTGGCCAACATCAAATAATTCAATTTAGGAGGATTTACACCTTAACATACAAATCTTTCAATTAGTGAACATAGAACATATTTCTCCATTTATTTAGGTCGTCTTTAATGTCTCTAAACAATGTTTTGTAGTTTTTAATATATAAGTCTTGCACATCTTTTGTCAGGTTTATCTACAAATATTTAATCTTTTCAACGCTGTCATAAATGATATTGCTTTTAAATTTTAATTTCTGATTGTTGTTAGTAAAGAGAAATAAAAATGATTTTTTACATATAGTCTTATATCCTGCAAACTTGCTGAATTCATTTATTTGTTCTTTTAGCTTTTTGATGGATTTTATTATATTTTCTCTATGGACTCTCATATCGTCTGTGGATAAAGACAGTTTTACTCAAGGAAAAGAAATAGGATGCCTTTTATTTCTTTTCCTTGCCTTATTGACAGCTTGACTATGCAGTACAATGTTGAATAGAAGTGGTAAGAGTAGACATTTTGTCTTATACCTAGTATTAGAAAGAAAGCAGTCAGTCTTTCAGTCTTAAGTATCAGGTTTGCTATGGGTTTTCCATGGAACCTCTTTATTAGGTTGAGGAAGTTCCTTTATATATCTAGTTTGCTGAGGGTTTTATCAGGAATGGATATGGATGTGTGATTTTGTCAATGTTTTTTGCATGTTTAAGATGATTATATATTTTTGTTATTAATATAATGAATTATATTGACTGATTTTTAAGTGGTAAACCAATCTTGCATTCTTGGAATAAATCTCACATAGTCATGAGGTATTATCATTTTTATATGTTATTTGAGTCAATTTCCTAAAATTTAGAGAATTTTTACATCTATATTCATGAGAAATTTTTCTCTGTAGTTCTCTCATCTCATAATATCTTTGTCTGGATTTAGTATCAGGGCAATGTTAGCTTCATAAAAGAAGTTGGGAATAATTCTGTCTTCGTACAATTTCTCAAAGAATTTGTGTAGAATTGGTATTATTTTTTCATTATAGGTTTTAGTAAAATTTTCCAGTAAAGTCATCTGGGCCTGGAGTGTTTTTTTGTTTGAAGGTTTTTAGCTATAAACCTAATTTCATTTATAAATATAGGCCTATTCAGGATATCTATTTCTTCTTTGTGAACTTTGTTATTTTAGGTCTTTCAAGGAATTTGTCTATTTCATGTAAGCTGTTAAAAGAATCAACATACAATTATTTATAATATCATTATAGTATCCCCTTATAGTTCTCTTAATGTCTGTAGACTTAATAGTGATATGATATGTAGACTTTTTTATACCTGCTACTGGCAATTTGTGTCTTCTTTTTTTCCTGATTAGTTGGGCTAGAGATTTATCAATTTTATTGATCTTCCCAAAGACCTAGCTTTTGGTTTCATTAATTTTTCTCTTTTTAAACATTAAATTGATTTCCGCTCTAATCTTTATTACTTTCTTTTTTTTTCTTTTACTTTAGGTTTCATTTGTAATTCTCTTTCTGGTTTCATAGAGTGAAAGGTAAGGGCATTGATTTGAGACCTTTTTTCTTCTCTAATATAGCCATTTGGGGCTATAAATTTCTTTCTAAGTAATGTTTTAGTAGTATTCCATGAAAATGCTAATATGAATGCTTTTATTTTCATTAGTTTCAAAATACTATGTAATACACCTTTCGATTTTTTTTTAAATCCATGAATTTTTAAAAAATGAATTAGTTTCCAAATGTTTGGGGGTTTTCTACATATCATTGTATTATTAATGTTTTATTTAACTGTATTGGAGTCTGGGAACATATTTTGTATGACTTAAATCCTTTAAAATTTATTTATTTGTTTTATGGCTCATAATATGATCTGTCTTGGTAAATGTTCTGTGTGAAGTTGAAAAGAATGCGTGCATTCTGAAAAATCAGCCATTATTTCTTCAAATTTATTTTCTGTCTCTGTAATCCTTCACGCACTCCAATCACACATACATTACACTGCTTGAAGTTGTCCCACAGCTCACTGATGCTCTGTTCATCTTTCTCTTATTCCCTGTTTCTTTCTCTTTTACATTTTGGGTAGTTTCTGCTTTTATGTCTTTAAATTTACTAATCTTTTCCTTCGCAATGTCTAATCTTATTCAGTGTATTTTTCCTCTTATACATTGTAGTTTTTATTTCCCTAAATTCAATATGGATGTTTTTTATCTCCTCCATGTTTCTACTTAGCATGTATAATCTTTCTTCTAGTTCTTGTTTTATATCTAGAATACAATTATAATAATTTTAATATACCTTCCATTAGGGTCAATTCTGTGTTGGCTTCAATGGACTGATTTTTCTCCCTCTTATGGAATCTATTTTCCAATTTATTTGCAAGCCTGGTAAGTTTTGATTGGATGCCAGATATTTGCCAGGTACTATGCTGAATACTCCAGGGGAATTCTCTGCAGATGTACTGAATCTCTCTCTATGTGACTCTTTCCTCTCTGGTGCTCTGTCCTATGAACTCTAGCTGTCTTGCTCTTTTTGGACTCTCGTGTCTTTATCCTCAATCAGTGACTCTACCCAGCTCTACCTGGGCTTCCCTTCCTGTGCTCTGGGCTGGAAACTCTCTCAATGGAGTAAGCTTGGATAACTTTGGCACTCCCCTCATTCGTTTCTTCCTCCCAGGAACCACTGTCCTTTGTTGACCAATGGCCAATGTCTTGAAAACCATTGTTTTACATATTTTGTGTGAATTTTCTCTGTTGAGGAAGTAAGGGTCTCTGTTACTGCATCTTGGCTGGAAATAAAAGCCTTAAAGGTTATTGTTTAATGATAACTATAATAACAGGAAGGGTTACTAATTTGTGTGATCCCTTTGGGGTTCAGATATTTCTTGGGATGACTTAGCAGAGTAGAGGAGGGCATATTCATCACATATTTATTACAAAAGATAGAGAGCATTTCACTGTAAAAATGTTCTAACTTTAAAGTGCAAGGTATGTGAGTACAGCAGTAAAGTGTTTGAACACTGATCAAAGAATCTTTCAGAAATCTGAGTTAGACTTGACACAATGTCAGTGAAAGTATTCACAGTACACTGGGCAATTACTGATGACAGCCCATTTGTTGGGCCAATGGAACAAATAATGATTCTATAAAGTTTCAGAACAGATGGACAGTTATTTCTGTTTCTACAAAGTCGATGTGCAAGATAAGAGTAAACTCATTTTCTCCTAACCAGGGGATTTTGTTAATGATATGGGAAAACTCACTCTTTATAAAGAACAGGAGTTTGCCTGTTATTAACTTTGAGGGCCTAGAAAATTCCCAGGCAAACAGTAGTCATTTCAATATATATTTATCAAATAAATGAGTATTTTCTATCAATTACAGAAATAGCAAACTGGTAGCTTGTGATTCGTAGTCTTCCTATCCACAAAGCATTTTAGAAAACCAGGTGAGTTCACATAAAACCCAGATCTCCCATTTCTCTTTGATGAGGAAAGCTCCTTACTAACATACTTGGCCCCTCTCATTCATTTACATTAGCTGCATGGCCTGTGTATGACTTTGAGTTTACAAGCCCCTCCTCAATACTTCATTCTTCCTATTTTTTTACATTGAAATTTCCTCCTTCATAAAGATAATACTTAGAATATTGTGAGTAGTAACAATACATCATTAAAGCAGAATTGCTCTAAGAGGCACTTTAGCTTTTATTTATTTGTATCTTGTGGTGGTTTGAAATAATGGCAACCGAATCTTTGACACTCCTTCCAGTGAAAGAGAGTATCTATGTCCCTTCCAGTTCTTCCTCCCTCCCTTTGAATCTGGGAAGGTTTGTGAGTCAATTAGATTCAGTAGAATGTGGCAGAAGTAACATTGTGTGACTTTGTAGTCTAGGTAACTAAAGGTAATGGAGCTTCTGTCTTGTTTGCTGAGATGCCCACTTTTGGAGTCTAGAGCTATTATTTATTTATTTATTTGAGACAGACTCTATCTCTGTTGCCCAGGCTGCAGTGCAGTGGCGCGATCTTGGCTCACTGTAACCTCTACCTCCCTGGTTCAAGCGATTTTCCTGCCTCAGCCTCCCGAGAAGCTGGGACTACAGGCATATGCCACCATGCCTGGCTAATTTTCGTATTTTTAATAGAGATAGGGTTTCTGCATGTTGGCCAGGTTGGTCTTGAACTCCTGACCTCAGGTGATCCTCCTGTCTCAGCCTCCCAAAGTGCTGGGATTGCAGGCATGAGCCACTGTGCCCAGCCTAGAGCTACCATTTAACCTGAGGCTGCCAAATATATGTAGGGGAAGCCCAAGCCACATGGAGTGGAGACCATGGTCAACGGCACCACCTGAGGATCCAGCCAGCAGCCTTTATGAATTTCCAGAAAGGAGTAAAAATGCCCTAAGATGATTTCAGTCTGCAGCCATCACGTCATCCTGAGACATCAAGAACTCCAAGCAGAGGCCCCAGACATTTTGGAACAGAAACAAACCATTCCCTCTGTGCTCTGTCTGGATATCGACCTGCAGAATATGTAAATATATTTTAAAAATTGCTTTAGGCTGATAAGTTATAGGGTAGCTCTTGAACATAACTGTATTAGTAAGGGTTCTCTAGAGGGACAGACCCAATAGGATAGATTTGTATATAAAGGGGAGTTTATTAAGCAGAATTGACTCACATGATCACAAGGTGAAGTCCCACAATAGGCCATCTGCAAGCTGAGGAGCAAGGAAGCCAGTCTGAGTCCTGAAACCTCAAAAGGAGGGAAGCCAACAGTGCAGCCTTCAGTTTGTGGTGGAAGGTCCAAGAGTCCAAAAGCTGAAGAACTTGGAATTTGACGTTCCAGGGCAGGAAGCATTCAGGAAGGGAGAAAGATGAAGGCTGGAAGACTCAGCCAGTCTAGTCCTTCCACATTCCTCTGCCTGCTTTTATCCTAGTCACGCTGGAAGTTAATTAGATGGTGCCCACTCAGATTGAAGGTGGGTCTGCCTCTTCCAGTCCACTGACTCAAATGTTAATCTCCTTTGGCACTCACAGACCCTCCCAGGGACAACACTTTGCATCCTTCAATCCAATCAAGTTGACACTCAGTTTTAGCCATCATAATAACTGTTTATTTCAAATATTATTTGAAGTAGCCCTGTACTGAAGAACACATAAACTGCTTGAACCTGAGTATCTATCTGTAAATGGGAATGATAGTTTCTCTGAGATTAAAGGAACAAAAGTATGTAATATGCCAATCCCACGGGTAGGTTCTTGCTTTTAAAGACACATAGTTAGTTAGGCCAGGCGTGGTGGCTCATGCCTGTAATCCCAACACTTTGGGAGGCTGAGGCAGGTGGATGATCTGAGGTCAGGAGTTCAAGAGCAGCTTGGCCAGTGTGGCAAAACTCCATCTCTACTGAAAATACAAAACTTAGCTGGGCATGGTGGCATGCGCATGTAGTCCCTGCTACTAGCGAGGCAGAGATATGGGAATCACTTGAACCCAGGAGGCAGAGGCTGCAGTGAGCCAAGATTGCACCACTGCACTCCAGCCTGGGCGACAGAACAACAGAGCAAGATTCTGTCCTAAAAAAAAAAAAAGACCAAAGAAAGAAACGAACAAAAAAACACATTGTTAAAACAAGAATAATTTATCTCTGTGTAAGGCTTCTACTACAATACAAATTTAGAAGGATTACTAGTACTAAAATGATTTTATCTTGTCCTGTTTGTCTTCCTCCACCCCCAAATTCTAACCATTTGTTGCCAGATGGAATTGATGTTGGAGAAATTATTTGGATTCTGGATGAAGAACCTGATTACATGGAAGACTCACTAAATAAAGGCAGCTTTCTTGAAAATGACCGAAAAAAACATGATTTTTTTTTTTTGATCCTTTCGTCAGCTGCAACAGGGACTTTTAGGTTTTTCAGATACTTGAAAAAGTCAGTTAATTCTGGGAATCACAAATCTTTTGATACCTTAGATGCCTTAAAGTCTTTATTTTACCTAAATACACCCACAACACACATGCATATGTAAATTACATTTATCTTTCTTCCTCTCTAGGGCCAAGCCCTTTCCTTTAGGTATGAGTTCCCTAATTGGGGTTTCATATTACCTTTCTTGCATTAAACCATACTTACAGTGTATTGGCTATGATTTTTACTTCAGCTTCTTTAAGACAAGTGAGAACTAAATGGAACTCAAGCAATTGAGTACAGACCCCTTTTATATTTCTGCAGCCTTTTACAGTCCTCTTACTGATTCCTAATCAAATGGCCACTTTTAAAGTTACTCACCATGTATTGATTCTTTCTGAAGTATCTGCCTTAGTTTCGAACATCTATTCTCTTTTTACGCATATTAGCTGTACCTATGAATTGGTCATGGTAGCTCCCTCAAGGCCCTTACATTATAGTATATATATTATAGTTAAATGCCATAAAAGGGTTATAGATAGTGTTCAGTGGGAAGAAGGAAGGAGTTCGAACTTTCCGCTCTAGAGCTGAAAAGTTGTCAACAAACACATCTTGAGACAAAAGGTCCTTAGCACGACCTGGAAGGGTTGCAGAATGGGAAAAAGTCTAAATACAGAGGTGGATACTCTTTGCAGATGGGAAATACTGTGTAAAGATGGAGGCAGCCAAGTTCTGGGCATGTTTAGCAAATAAGTATTTAAGTTTCCTGGGGATAAGATGTATCTACAGAGAGAGTGATTCCTACATCCCAGTTTTCCTAAGACATTCTGACTTTTGCCTGATGTTCAAGAATCCCACTTGGCTTGCATTTGTCCCAGATGAAAGTGTCCTGATCTGAGCAATAAATTATATAGACCCCCTACCTACAAGGAATAGAAAGTAAGGATAAAATGCCAGGTAAGGATTTTCAATGTTAGGAGGTAACTGAGAGTCATGGAAGATTTGGGTAGTTGAGAGAGTCAGGACTTAGTTTTAAGAGGATTACTTGGATGACACTGCAGATTATACAATGGGGGGAAGGAAAAAGGGGTAGAAGAGAAGAAATTGAAGTTTCTGGTAATAAACAGTTCAGTAAAGCAGTCAGGAGAAAGGCAGGGATTGGGAAAATTCAAGTGAAGGCATGGAAAGGAGCAACAACAATTAGATTCTAATGTTGAAGCATCCACTCCATTCACAGGTGAGGTGGGCAAAAAATGGGCAGGAGACAGGATTTCCTGTTCTTTTCCTTGGGTCTCTTAGTGGCATGGTTTAATGGTAATTCAGATCACTCTTGGATAAAGGAAATAAGAAATCACTTTGGGTCTTATCACTCTTCTTACGTGGAGATGGACCTTGTAGGTATGCACCACTTTGCTGTTAAGAGTAAATTTCCTGGCCGGGCGCAGTGGCTCACGCCTGTAATCCCAGCACTTTGGGAGGCTGAGGTGGGCAGATCATGAGGTCAGGAGTTTGAGACCAGCCTGGACAAAACGGTGAAACCCCGTCTCTACTAAAAATACAAAAATTAGCCAGGCGTGGTGGCATGCGCTTGTAGTTCCAGCTACTCGGGAGGTTGAGGCAGAAGAATCGCTTGAACTTGGGAGATGGAGGTTGTAGTGAGCAGACGTCGCACCACTGTACTCCAGCGGGGGCAACAGAGTGAGACTCCATATCAAAAAAAAAAAAGAAAGAAAGAAAAAGAAAAAAAGAATAAATTTCCTTCAAGACTCTTTACCCCACTGGCATTGTGGAAGATGAAAACATGTGAAGTAGTCTTGAGGCCTCACCTGTATTCTGGATTTACTTCCTGTCTTTAGTTCCTCAGTGGAAACTCAAGAAAAGGTGGGACATTCCTGTGTGTGTTGGGGAAGGGAAGAGGAGGAGACTAGAAAAAAAAATTGATTTGGCAATAAATGAATGGAAAAAGAAAATGTGGTGTATACCCACAATGGAATAGTATTCAGCCTTTAAAAAGAAGGAAATCTTGTCATTTGTGACAACATGGATGAACCTGGAGGACATTATGCTAAGTGAAATAAGTTAGTCATAGAAAGACAAATGCTATACTGCACAATCCCACCTATTTGTGGAATCTAAAAAAAAATCAAGCTCAGAAGTAGAGAATAAAAGGTGTTTCCCAGATAGTTGTACAGCGATTCTAGATCCAATCCATCATAGTCTCTACATTTATCGTGATTAGGGCATCTATGGATTCCCCTCTTCAGGGCAATGAAACACTGATACCAATGTGGTTAGTGTTGGGTTCAGTTATTTTATCATTAGGCATGGTGATGACCGGCTGGAGTGGGGGAAAATTCAGGGGCTGTTTGTCAATGGGTACGAAATTTCAGTTAGATAAGAAGAATCAGTTCAGGGGATCTATTGCACAACATGATGACTAGAGTTAACAGCTACCTATTGTATACTTAAAAATTCCTAGGAGAGTAAATCTTAAATGTTCTCACCACAAAAAACATAAGTATGTGAGGTAATACGTATGTTAATTAATTTGATTCAGTCACTCCACAATGTATCAAAATATCATGTTGTATACCATAAATATATATAGTTTTTATTTGTCTATTAAAATTATTAGAAAAATTGGGAGCGGGGGGCGCTGAGCACTTGCAGAGATAATTGCTTTTTATCTTTTTCCAAGGCAGAAAATCACCTTTACTCCCAGTCCTCTCTTGCAGAAGCCTTTGAGGTTGTGTTTTCATCTTGGTATCTGGAAAACGTTTGGATAATACTAAGTTTGCTATACAGATGTGGGGCACTTCGTATAAAAGACACCTATGCAACCTCTCCCCTCCCTTAAGCCCTGCTTCTCCACCTTCAGCACACATTTTCGTTGGTGCTTTTCAACCTGTTAGAGAGACTCTGAAATGAAACAGAAACTTGTTGGTGAGTTGACAGGAAGCTCTTTCCCTTTTTCTCTCTAAGAAGCAGACTTTACAGAGGCTTTGCGTTCATGTGGGTCTGGTTCCCGAGCCAGAGCTCGCTGACACAGGTGTGCACTTTCTCTTCATCTTCCTGCCAGATTCCAACCAGCTGGCCTCAGGCTCTGCTTTAGCCAGCATCCTTCCCTTCTCAGCCTGAGCAACATTTTTCAGGTGGTCTTCAAGCAGGTAGAAATCTGTTTGGATGCAAGAAAGCATGTGCTGGGTACCATGTAAAACATTTTTCAGGTGGTCTTCAAGCAGGTAGAAATCTGTTTGGATGCAAGAAAGAATGTGCTGGGGTACACATGTAAAAGCATGTGCTAAGGTACCATGTTGGAAACCTGGTTCCTAACTGTAAAGATCAAAATGACTCTTAGTATTCACCTATGAGAACAGGATCATTAACTATTGTGAAACACAGCCAAGAAGGCGCTCATTGTCTCAACAAATATTTGACCACCTCATCTGTGTCAAGGACTATTTCAGATCCTGGAGATATTGCTGCCTCATGGAGCTTACATTCTAATGGAGGGGGGAGAGAGAGAGAGAGAGAGAGAGAGAGAGAGAGAGAATACACAATATTTTACATACAAAATATAACGTATTCAAGGGTGACAAGTGCTAATGAGGAAAAAAGAAGTAGGGGGGAGTAGGAGGAAATGATGGGGGTGAGGGAGTTTAAAATCTGAAATAGGGAAGCCAGGGAAGACCTCAAGAGAAGGTGACATTCTAGGAATTATGAAAAAGAAGCCAGAGACCAAGCCATGTCTTGTGGAAGGATGTCCCAGTCAAAGGACACAGCAAGTGCAAAGGTTCTGAGATAATATGTTCAAGGAACAGCCAATGGACCAGTGGACTGGAATTGACTATTCATCCATAGTTGCTGCTTTCTACATTTTCTCTACATAGTGGAGCATAGTGGAGCGCCCAAGGTCTGAACTAACATGGTACATAATAGTGGTTCCATATACTTGCTGTATTATCGCTAATCCTAGGGAGCATTTGAAAAATACGTGTGCCTGAATTCTTGCCCAAGGTATTCCAGTTAAGTGGATCCGGGGCAAATGGTGGCCAGGCATCAGTCTTTGTAGACAGCTCCCAGGTTGTTTAGATAATCTGTAGGTCAGAAGATGATCTGTAGGGGATCCACTATCTACATCCAATCCACCATAATCTCCACATTTACCTTTGTTAGAGCATCTGTGGATCCCCTCTTCAGGGCAATAAAACATTGAGACCAATATGGTTAGTGTTGGATTCAGTTATTTTATCAGCAGGGCAAAGGTGTGATGATGATAGGCTAATGTTTTTGTGTCTTATGATTTGGAATTGCAACACCATGTAGGCTTACAATAATTTCCAATAGTCCTATAGATTTGTCCTTTGCACTCCTCCCATGAGGCCTAGGCTCTGTATTCAGCAGGTTCTAGCTACTTGATTCCATGTCTTTCTGTATCCAAGGAAGGATTAGATAAGCTAACTGTTGGAATGGGTGGGGGGGATTCACCAGGAACTTGAAATATGCTGCTCTTGTTTTGCTGCTTTCTGTTTGTTAACCTCACCCTCCATCATTTCCACAAAGTAGCAAACATGACCACCCATGACTCTTGAGCTTTGCTCCTGAGAGCTTGTGTCATGAGACAGTCTGGCATATTCTCTGACTCTCAAGTCTACAAAGTTCTCAGGGAGGAGACTCAGCCACTTGTTCTTAGTCAGGTGCCTCCTATTGAGTGGATCAAACATAGCCACTGTCATGTAAGAACATGGCAGCTTCTTTGGGAGCCATCAATGGGGACCGATGACAGTTCCCAAAAGAAGGAAGGGATGGGGTGTGGATGAATATTTTCTTAGATGTTCAATCCAGAGTTGAAACTTGCCTTGGAACTCTTCTTTTGAAATTGATTTAATTCAAGACCAAAGTCCTTAAAATTGAATAAATGGCTCTACCAGATCTAGTGAGTCCTTCCCTGTCTACCTTACTTAAAATTGTATTTCTTCCACCCAGAGCTCCCCGTGCCCCCTAGTAATTTTACCCACAGCACTCACTATCATATGACACACTATGCCTTACTTATTTGTTGTCTTTTTTAAAAATTCACTAAGGCATCACCTCCATCAAACCATGGAGTTTTGTCTGTTTTGTTCAGTGCTGTATTCCTAGTACCTGGAACAGTGCCCAACACATAGTAGGCACTCAGTAGTGACTGATGAGTAAAGTTTATGCATCTTTTTAGACACTAGTAGTTATTCCACAGCCATACTTTTTTATGACTCTCCCTGATTAGCCCACCTGAGCCTCCTTTGGAATGAATCCAATGATGATTCCAGAAAACAAATAGAAGGGCAGAGAGGCTGGTGTTGTCATAGCAGCTGCTGAGTTGGGAATGGGGCAGCATCTGTATTACTCAAACACAGCAGCATCCCTGGGGAGAGGGTAACCCTGAGGCTTTGCAGGTCTTTTCAATATCTTGGATTAAATGAACTGTTAAATATTTGTTTTATTAGAATAGCTTGGGTTTGTTTCTGCGGCCTTAAATTGTGTCTGTTCTGGGCAGCTGATACGTAGCAGAGTGGAGCATGCATGGTATTTAGAGAACTCATGGGAGCCTCTCCTATCATTTGGGGCCTGTCTTCAGGGGTCCCCTCTTATTTCCCCTACAAGACTAGCAATCCCTTTGTTGGCACTAAGGCATGGGGGAAAGATGAGCTCACAGTTGGTAAAGGAATGTGGAGAGGAGCAGCCTCATGTAGCACTGAGTGCAGAGGAACTCAGGAAATTCTTTTTAACAGAATGGCTGCAGGCTATAGAATTTCAGACTGGGGCCAGTGCACTAAATGAGGATTGGACTGGGGGTTCAGGAAGAGTCAGTTCCTAAAATTAATAGAAATTAGAGAGCTTTTAGGAGACATGGAAGAAAAGCCCCTCATGTGTACAGATATGCCAAATACAGTTCCAGAGCATCTCCTGTCAAATCTGTTCTTAAATCACATTTTCCACCTATGTCTAGGAAAGCTGAGGGCCGAGCCCCTACTTTCACAGTTAAGAATGATAAAGCTCAAATTCCATGGTGTGCTTCCATGGTGAATGCAGAGGGAGCTTTTACATTCTTAGCTATGGACATTGAGCTCCTTTCTGCCTGCTAGAGATTTATAATTATGTATGTATGTATGTGTGTGAATGTGTGTGTTTATATGCATGGATGTATGCATACGGAGGTGTGTGTGAACGCATGTGTGTGCCTATGTGTATAAATGCATGGGAGAGGTTTGGAAATACTGTGTATACTTTCCCAATGGTTAAGTATTTAACTCTGAAGAGAAAAGAAAGAATGGGGTTGGTTGAAATAAAGAAAGAGAGGAGAGTAGGTTTTATATTTTGCCTTGTACAATACTAAAATATTTGTGCCATTTTGCTGTCAAAATGTATTTTCATGTGTTGTGAGTTTTAAAACATTTCAAAAAATTGTAATTGACAAATGAACTCATGAACTGATGACAAATTGAATGTTTCATTTTCTACTTTACTCTTATTTTCTGTCCATCCTGAATGACTACAATGATAAGAGGTTGGGGAGGGAATCTATCACTTCATGTAGGAGTCATTGCTTCTCTAAGGCCACTGACTTACCTTCCTAGGTATGTGCCATTTTTTTTCATGCTGTCCCTTATACCTAGAATACACATTTCCCCAGCCCTGACCGTGTTCAGTTACCAATTTGTCAAGACCTATCATGATTAAATCACCTCGATGAAACTTTTTCTTAGTTGGTCATCATCCATCTTATCCATCCATCCATCATATTGTGAGTGCCTACTCAATGCGAAATACTATGTGAAACTTTAGGTAATGCAGATATCATTCTTGCTTTCTTGATAATAATATTGTAAAGAAAAGAGACAGAAATATATAATCAAGCAAACAAATGAATATAAAACTGAAAATTGTAATAAATAGTACAGAGAAAATAAGCATGGTTTCCTGATAGAGAATAGTGAAATAATACTCAAATTAAGTAGGGTGATTGGAGATAGCATTAATTATAAGACACAGAATGGAAAAATGAGAGATATGTTTTGCAGGGTGAGAGAGTAATGGGATGATTTTAGGCAGGGTGAACAATACATATGGTTCCTTCTGTTTCTGAAATACTATACTTGTTCATCACATTGTTCACTGTATTTATCATTTTATGCTGATATTTTTGATTTCAGGGTTTGTTAAAAAAGCTTGTAGTTGCCTGTCATGTAGCAGACTCTCAAAAAGCTAAATCAAGCATCCACAGACCCTACAGCAGGAAGAAGAAGCTCCCTTATACTGTCACAAAGACAACTTACATTTCACTGATACCCTCTCTAGAGGGTCTCTAAAGATTCAGAGATAATTTCCAAAATTATCTTCAGGACTAAATACTAAAACGTTTCTTATTTTCCAAGTCACTTCTCTGCTAGGTCTTTGCCCTGAAAGACCACCATTATCTACAAATCCAGTTCTGGTTGGGCAGAGTAAAATCCTTATGCCGAAATGTCTTTTAAAATCATTTAAAGTCGTGTCAAAGGGGAATACTTTCTTCCTTTTGTGTTTCCTTGGGCCTTTGGTCATTTTTTATTTGTAGAAAAGAGAAAGTATACTTTTGGTGGACCAGAAACTATTTTCTTTATTGTTAATATATGAACTATGGACTATACCCAGTCTATAATCACCTCTCCATGCCTGTAAATTGAACTGGTGCTCTTTTCCCAGGTTAATGAGTTGCTTGTCAGTCATGTGATTTTTCTCTAAGGTCTGGCCTTGAGGCATGGAAAGGCTTTTATTTTCTAAACCAGTAACTAGGAAAGATCTTTGCTCTGTCCCTCAGAGATAGCATCTTTAAGACGGAGGTACTGGAAAGAACAACTCCCATTTTAGAAACTTTTGGTGGCCAGCACAAAGTGGAAAACACCTTGCCATATCTAGAAAGTCATAGAATCTTAGAGTTAGAAGAAACTAAAGAAATCATTTAGATCACTCTCTTAATGCTAGAATTTGTTTATAACGGCCCCCCAAAATAACCATACCACCCACTTGTACATCAATATTTCCCTTGATGAACAACTCGTATCTTTAGGAAAGATTATTCTGCCTTTTAGTTATCTCTGCATCTTAGATATCCTTTCTTCATTGAGTTCCATCCTATAATGTCAATGAGTCAGAAACCTACATTTCTAACCTCTCCCTCATAATCCTAAGGATGCTTACAAAGGGTAAAGAACATGTCTTATCTATGGCCTGATTAAAACTAAATTGGGCTTTGAATCAGAAGATTCAAATTATGGCTCCACAAATTAATTGACTTTAGACAGATTTTTAATTTCTCTGTCTCAATTCTCTCCTCTCTAAAATGTAGACAGCATTACATCACTGAGTAATTGTGAGGATTAAATAGGAAAATGTGAGTAAACATGCCTAACCTATGCTCAATACATATTAGGTACTCAAAATTTTTTCTTTTCTGTCCATTTTTTCTCGTTTCATGACTACTTAAAGAGCTTGAGAACAGGTAGCTATAAAGAGTACATTTCGCTACAAGTAACAGGAAATCAAAATAGCATTGGCTTAAATCATGAGGATGTTTATTGTTTATTTAGAAGGAAGCTCAAAGATAGACAGCCCTGGGCTTGGCCTGGTAGCTCACTGTTTCATCATGGACCCGAGCTCCATCTCTTTGCTCTACTCTTCTTAGTGTTGTTGGCTTTTTTCTTCTTGCATTCTGCAGCGTAGCTGTAAGATGACTGCTATTGTTCCAAGTATCATGGATGAAGTCAAGGCAGGAAAAGAGAGAGAAATGGCATCTGTAAGCTCTTCTTTCACTCTCTTCCTCTTTTTGAGGAAGTGAAAGCCTCCCTGAAGCCTCCCTGTAGACATTTCCTCATCTTTCGTTGGCGAAACTGAGTGAAATGGCTGTCTCCCACTGCCAGGTGAGCTGGGAAGGGATATCGGTAAGACGGAAGGAGATTGGGGATGGCCATGCATTAACCAATTGACTGTGACTGCCTTAGAAGATCTCAGATCTCCCCTAATTGTCACTTCTCCAGGCTTATTACTCCCTGTACCCTCAGCAGCCCTGAACATGACTTGGATTTGCACACTTCTTTGCTCCTTTGATCTCTTCCTTTGGATAAATTAAGGTCAGAACCAAGCAATGGCTGAATCACTTGGGGTTCAACCAGGGAGCAGAACCCACTCTAATTATTATGGGCTATAGGATTTATTGTGGGATTAGATCTTACAAATGTTGGGGGAGTTGGACAAATAAGGTCTGGAAAGGGGAGTTGTTGGATCAGAGAAAAAAATCACTAACCAGCTCTCTCAAATAATGGGCACAGGGCAATAATTTAGAATTTGTAGGAAAATCTGGGAAGCCAGGCGTGTCCAGTTGCAAAAGTGGGACCACAAAAGGGATATGGTGAAGAAGTTTCTGGAAGTCTGTTGCCTCCATGTCTAGAGATAAACTAGGATCATTGTTGGGCAGTTGGACCAGCAGTCAGTAAGAAGAGAAAACTAGGCCAGCTGGAACCTATTGATGCCTCTTTTATTCTTTCACTTCATCTAACCTCAGTGATCTTCAGAGAATAAGGTCGGAGTGATTTGAACAGGCTCAGTGTGTCTTCTCCAAATGTGGAATGTATCAAAGGGTAGGAGAATGACACTGGGCTCCCAAGTGCAGTTTCACTATCATGCCTTTTTGCACATTTTCATCGCAATGAGAAGCACTGTTAGGGAGATTCTGAGGGTGTATCCGATGACGGAAATAGTGTCTGTTCCAAAGGCAAAAATAGGATTATCATGGGATATGGACACAGGTTGCTTTTAGGAATCCACATGGGAAAGGAAAAGCAGGAACGAAGATTGTTAGGATAAAGAAGAAGGAGAATGAAATGTTGAAGTAGAAACTATGCCCCTACAATCGTGTTCCTACATAAGCTCTTCAAAGCTTCTTTATTAATTTTTATCTCTTAACTTCTGTTTGAAAACCCCATGACAGCAATTATTCCTTTGGACAGTGTATTTCTCCTTTGAAATTGAATCTTTTTTCTTTGTCTTGGCTTCTATATCAGTAAATGTTTCGCAGTATGTTAACTGTTATCTTTTGTGTACTACAGCACAAGATTGTTTAGAATAATTAAATAATGAAATGTTTCCTATGCCCATCTTAGCACTGATACTCTTTTCATCTAGGTGATAAGAGCCAGCCGTACATTAATCCACATCAAATTGTCACATAATAACTTGAAAAACTATGAGAGGATGTTCTTTAATAGGGAAAATAACTTAAATTCCTCATTTTGTATAATGAAGAATTTTTCTCTATTTATGAAGTAGGCAGAGGATCAGTGAGTAGGGACTTTTTTTTATTCCATTATGGAATACATATGATATATTTATCATTTCTAAGATCTGTTCTTTGGGTTCAATTTGTCAAAAGGACAGATTGACCTATGTCTTCTCTGTATGGCAAGATGAATGCCAAACAAATGTTCTCCATTCCAAAGGCACCATTCTACTCTGTTAAGGCAGACAATGATGCTGTCTTAACTTAGCAGCAGGAAATTGATTGACCAGAGTACCTTTTGATGATAAACTAATTTCACAGATCTTTGTAGAGAAGGTAGTTTTGATGTCAGTTCCAGTTAAAGCAATAGATCCAACCTAATTTTCAATCATTAAAGCAATAGATTCAACCTAATTTTCAATCATTATTTTCCAAATGAGAATATTCAAGTGCTAGGATATTTTATAAAACTTGTAACCCTAGAAAAGTCTTCTTTTTTTTTTTTTTTTTTTTTTAGATGGAGTCTCATTCTGTCACCCAGGATGGAGTGCAGTGGCATGATCTTGGCTCATTGCAACCTCCACCTCCTGGGTTCAAGCTATTCTCCTGCCTCAGCCTCCCAAGTAGCTAGGATTACAGGCACCTGCCACCATGCTTGGCTAATTTTTGTATTTTTAGTAGAGATGGGGTTTCACCACGTTGGCCAGGCTGGTCTCTAACTTCTGACCTCAGGTGATCTGCCTGTCTCGACCTCCCAAAGTGCTGGGATTATAGGCGTGAGCCACCACACCTGGCCAAAAAGCCACATAATAAATAAATAAATAAATAAATAAATAAATAAATAAATAACATGACTTAAGGGTATATACAAAAGCCAGCATTGTGAATTCCATATTGCTCTCAAAGTGGAGAAATAAGCAGATGGAATATATTGGAAGGGCTGAGGGCACAGATGTCTTCTTGGCTTGAGTTCAGAGTGAAAGAAGAAGCCCATTTTGTAGCTGATTCTGTGATAGGAAACATCTAGATAGACAGAGGGCTGAAAAATCAAGTGCACAAGGTTTGATAAACTGTTTTTCAAGACAATTATTACAACATTTAAGCAACAGGTTATTGTTTGGAAGCATGCTCTTCTAACTAATTCAAGCATGTGTTTTGAGTGGAAAAAGCTTTTCAATTGTGGCTGAGCTACATAAAGTGTCCTTAGATCTCCCATTTACAGTAGCATTATTATTGCTCTGGCCAAAAAAATTAAAAAAAATTTAAAAAAAGACAAAAAAACCCCTTCTTCTACTGAAGCCCTAAGCCCTTTGTTCATTACAAATATTGTCTCCATGATGTTTAATAAACTGAGAATGGGTATTTACTGTGCAAGCCTTTCCATAAAAAAGTTAAAAATAAAATCAACTGCCATACTCAGTGCAGAGGCCATATTCCTTAATGGCCTAAATAAAAAATACGATCTATTATTTAGTTCTAAAAAAATTATAGAAAGTGTGAGAAGATACAGACAAAAAGTTAAATCATGAGAAATCTTTCTATTGGGAAATAATCACAATTAACATTTTATAATAAAACTTTTCAGTCATATATAAAATCACTGTTTTCTTTTTCATATTCCTGTTCTCTTTTCTTCCAGAAATATGTTATAGAGGTGGCTCTTTGTCAATAAATGCAGATAAAATTTGCCAATTTTATTGGGTGCCTATATTTTATCTAATCAATAATTTACTTGACCTAGCCAACCATCATCCATCTATCTAATCTATCTACCCATTCATTTATTTACTTTCAACAACATAGCAACAACTATCTTTGCACATACTTCTCTCTGTGCTTGCCTGATTATTTCCTTGGGTTGAATTCCCAGAAGTAGAATTGCTGGATCAATGGGTCTGCACAAGTTTCACTTTTGATAGGTATTGCCAAATTGCCTGCCAAAATTTCATACCCATTATACTCCCTTCAACAGGGTATGAGAGTGTCTTTTCTCCATATGTTCCTTAACACTGGGCAATATCAATCTAATTAATCTTTGCCAAGCTGAAAGACTAATACAACCATAGTAGCAATACTTTTTCTTATTTGTCTATTTAAGGTTATTATTGAGTTTGCACAGCCTGTTAATGTTATTTAGCCCTTTGCAAGGAACGCTATACATTTTCGGACTATGAACTTCCATTTATTGCATTTGCACTTTCCTTGTATTTTAAAGAGATTATGTGAACCTGGAAGTTAGTAGGCTTGACATTTAATCTTTCCTGACAGTAGCTAAGGGATTAATTACTACTTCTTTCTCTAGATGCACCAGTAAAATGGGTGCAGTTGTAACCCAAGCACAGCCACAAGTACTACTTTGTACTACTATGTAATTGAAAAGGAGGTGTTTTGTGTTTGGTGTTTTTGTTTGTTTGTTTGGGAAAGGATCTCACTCTGTCCCCAGGCTGGAGTGCAGTGGTGTGATCACAGCTCACTGCAATCTTGAACTCCTGGGCTCAAGCCATCTTCCCACCTTGGCTTCCTGAGTAGTTGGGACTACAGGCACACACCATCATGGCTGGATAATTTATTTTTTTTGTAGAGACATCTTGCTATGTTGCTTCGGCTGGTCCTGAACTCTGGGTCTCAAGTGATCTTTCCATTTCAGTCTCCCAAAGTGCTGGGATTACAAACATGAGCCATTTCATTTAGCATTTGCTTGCTTTTAAAATTTCTGCCCACTCCTGTGGCAGGCAGCCTATAAAATACCTCTGCTGACAGTCCCCACTTCCTGGTAATCACACCCTGTGTAATCTCCCTTTCTGTGTGAGCTGGAGCTAATGACTCTCTTCCAAAGAATAGAATTCAGCGGAAGTGAAGGGATGCCACTTCTAAGATTAGGTTACAAAAAGACTCTGGCTTCCATCTTGCCCAACTTCTCCTACCCTGTTTCATTCCCTGTCACTCTCTTGGAGTCCTTGCTCTGGGAGAACAAGTGCCATATTATGAATACTCTATGGAGAGGTCCATATAGCAAGAAACCGATGTATTTGATGTCTTTGGTCAACAACCAGCAAGGACTTCTGGCTTGCCAACATCCATGTGAGTGAGCTTGGAAGTCCATCTTGTCCCATCCAACCTGAAGATGACTGCAGTCCCAGCCTGCCACACTTTGATGCAGTCCTGTGAAAGGCCCTGAGACAAAGACATCCAATTAAGTTGTGCCCAGATCCTAGTGCCTAAGAAACTCTGAGAAAATACGTGTTTGTTGTTTTAAGCCACTAAGTTTAGGGGCACTGTCCTGCAGTGATAGATAACTAATATGACTCCTGATTTACCCTCTGGGCAGTTACTACCACACCTTGTGTGCTCCAGCCTCCTGCTCCTGGTTCAGCCATGCATCGCCTCTCTGTCATCACTGGTCACCACCCAGAACTCTGAGGCTCTCAGCTCCATGTACTTAGCTTATCCTCAGCAGAGCGGTTGGAGAAAAGCTACCCTCATGCATTAACCATGTCCTTAATTTTCCGCATATTGATGCTTTGACATTTGGGGCTGAAGGGACTGCCATCCCAAGGTTAGCCAATTTCTAAAGATAGTAAACAGCTCATCCATGAGCACGCTTTTCAAATGCAAACCAACAAATCCGGAGTCCATGCCCTCAACCACCTCCCTGATGGGGTTTTCACATTCCAGGCCACAATCCACTTGCCCTAATCATCCCAGCACCAGGTACCAGACAACTAGGACAGCCCCTGTGCCTTAGAGCCCACTGAAATTATTCAAACTATACAATCCTCTGCCTGTTTACCTTGCCTTGCTCATTGCTCATTTCTTCCTCAGAAAACCACAATTATGGCACTTGTCAGAGTTTCCCCTCTCTCTCTCTGTCTTCTGGCTGACCCCACTGTTTCTCTGTGTGGGCTCCTCCCTCTGTGGCATGCCCCCTCTTCCTGAAATCTGTAAGCATAATAAGCCATCTATTCAATGGCAATCATTTCCTGATCTGTTGGTCTTACCATACCTGACTAATAATAAAACCTATATTAAGACAACTCCCCTTAACACCTGCTTGCCTTATTTCCTGTACTCCCTCCTCTCAATACATTATTGAATTGTTCAAGTAAGTTAAAGTCTATGACCACACACAACAAAAGGCAAATACTATTAGACAGAGACCCACATTAGTTAAAACACAATAAGAAAGAGAACCACTTTTGAAAGTGCACTTGATCTAGACAGATTCCCTTGCCTATTAATATGCAAATCAGCCTCAGTTTTTCTTTGTTTATTGCAACTTTCAGATTCTGCCTTAGGCTCGCCCACATTTAAGAAACGGGCTTGTTAGAGAGCAGGCTACCCCGTGATGGTTACCCTGAGTTACAAAAAGACTGGTTTGGAAGTGGTACTTTAAAAAGTAAAATTATTTCCTCTCTACCTCCTCCTTGCCTCTTCCCTCAGCAAGTAAAAGGGGGAAAAGAGAGAGGTTGGTTTTCCAATTACTGTATTTTATCCAAGGGGCTTGACCAGATGATCTTTCAAAGTTCCATTTAGCCCTTAAGGACGATTCCTTATTTGTGGATTGGTTCTGCAAATGGCAGAATGAAGGAGATCATGGATCCCTCCATTTACTCATTTGTTGTTATTGCTGTTTATTTTTTGTTCTTTTCCTCTTAAAGAAAAAACTCTCCGGCTTACATGTCCCATAATCCTGTCTCAACTCCTTACTTTCTAATGAGGTAGGGAACACACATGAACATAATTCATGTAGACTGTTTTCCAGATTTTCCACACACTTGTTTTCCTGAGCAAGATGTTATCTTTTGTATGTAAAGAGGATGGAACTTTAAAGTTATTCCAGAGAGAAAGTGAAAGGTTGTGCTTTCCTAAGGTGCAATTGAATTTTGTCACAATTTGTGTTTAATGAGCATATTTGTCAACATTGCATTGTATCTAAAGATGCTTTTATCTACTTTTATTTGTCTTAGGTTGAATTAAATAGGATATAATTTGCTAAATCACTAAAACATGAAAAAGAAAAGGGAAATGTTTCTTACTCTTTGTTCTGCATCTCAGCTGTGAGGAGCAAAGAATACTTCAGGACTGTCAATCACTTCTGGTTCTAGAACTGTTTTAGCAAAAATTAAGATATTCTGACAGGTTAAATTCAGACTCTTTTTTAGAGACTCTTCTCTTTGTTTAATGAACTGCCTCTTAAATAATGGTTTGACTCTGTTGAGGAAGGAAACTATTGAATTGTCGTGTGTGTGTGTGTGTGTGTGTATGTGTGTGTGTGTGTTGACTAGCAAACACTTATAAATGGGATGGTGGCAGGGCTTCTGTAACCAAGAGAAGTTTATGAAACATTAAATTGTTAAGGGAGTCACAGTGTTACAGAGATTGACCTTGAAGTTTTAAAAAAGTGAATTGATCTACTGGAACAAGTACAAAGCCAGCTTTGGTGCTAAATGTAAATTGTTAAAAATGGTACGGAATAACATCTGCCTTGTAGTATGCCTTAATCAGCACTGTGAAAAATGAAAGTTAAACGATCTACTATAGTGGCTTCTAAGTGAAGGATAAACAAAGGATGAAAGAGTTTCTTGCATGGTTTGTAACTGATGCCATGAAAAATGTCAAGAACCATCTGCCTCAAACTTATCCAAACTGTCATCAAGTATTCTAATCCAGTCAAACGAGATACAACTAGAACAACCTATGTAACTTGCTGAAGGCTTATCAAAAGAGTTGTAAATAAAGAAGAAAAAAAACCCCATCAACTGTGTAGCTGCAGATTGCAGCCAGCTTGCCTGTGGCTTTGAAATTCAATCCCATTTCTCTAGTCTGACAAACTGTACTAAATAGCAAAATGGATTTTTATTGCTCTTAGTCATTTTCACTTTAGTTGCTATCAGGAGATAAATACGGTTTCCTCATAGAATCGAATCTTGGCTTATTTTTAAAAATGCACAAGTTGGTTTAGACCTTACCATTCAATCCGTAAGTATGTACTAAGTGTGTGCACAGGAGCTTAGCATTGCATTTTGGTCAGTAAGAGATCATTTACCCATGTATGGGTAGATTTCCATGGTTTACAACCCCATAACTATTTTTTAATTAGAGTTTCTCTTTATGCAATTTAATAAATCAATTTTTCATAATCTACTCATTAAGACTACAGAATTCAGATTCAGACAGATGAGCTTTAAATCCCAGCTCTACCACTTACCGGCTGAGTAACCCTAGGCAAGTTGCCTAAATTCTCTGAACTTATTTTCTTCATCTGGAAGACTGAGATAATGATAGCCACCTAGATCATAGATAGACATGAGTTGATACTTGGGAAATTCCCCAAACACTGAAGCCAAGTATGCAGAGGCAAATAATGCTCACTGAATCTCAGTGCACTTGCCTCAGTTCCTAGTCCCCTCTGCAATTGGGTTGGGGCCATGAGATCCCAGTGGGATCAATTCTGGCCAATGGACTGTGAATAGAAGAGATGCATGTCATTTCTGAGCTAAGATCTCTAACTGTGTGTGTACTTCCTTCATCTTTCTCCTTTTCTGCAAAGACAATTTTGGAATTGATGTATTCCATATGGAAGAGTTGAATGAGAAAGACCACTGGTCCCATGTTGGACTTCCCATGAGAAGGAAATATATATTTGTTGGGTTTAGCTGCTGACATTTGGTGCTAATTTGTTCCTGCATATAGCAGAGCTAAGGCAAATACATCAATCAATGTGTTGATATTTATAAGTATATATACCTCCTTCACTACCAATAGATACACAATAAGTATGTATTTAAAATGGCATGTAATCTTCTGACTATTCTATTCTCTTGTTTGGTATTTCTAAGAGAGTAGAAACTAAGGACTTTTTTTGGAAAAGAAAGATGATAAAACAAATAACTATAGAACAATGCAAAGGGTTGTTAAAGCCACGATAATAGCTGATACCAATAAAGGATTGATAAAAAAAAGTATATAAGATATACATGGGAATATTGCATTAAATGAAAATGATACATGTATAAACTCTTTGACATAAAAAGATTTACAATATATAGCTAAAGAAAAGGATATGTCAAAACATTATGGACTATATTATTCCATTTTTACTTTGTAAAATGACCTTTAAGAAGTTAGAGGAGAAAATCACTGATGGCTGAGGAGCTCTAGAAAAAACTCCATGAATGTGCAGGCCCTTTAGCTAGCATTAAAAGGGAATATTGAAAAAGGTAGGTCTAGAGTTATGGAGGGCATTCATTGTCCCTGCTGCCAAAACACCAGTGGTTAATCTAGGTCCTGCTGCTTGCCACACAGAAAGCCAATCATTGAGATGACACATATTGCCAAGGAAGAAGTCTTTAATTGGGTGCCACAGCCAATGAGATGGGAGTCCAGTTAAAACTGTGAGAGAGATATTCACAGGTAAAAGCTTATGGTATAAATTTTCAATTGTTTTCTATCCATCTCCCTGACTGACTAAAACTAAGGGAAAAATATATATATTTAGCAGGGAAAAATGTAACAATGTTTAAGAAAACAAGAACTAGGGCGGGGCAAGGAGGCATCTAGTGCATTGATCTGGTGAGCTTCAGTACTTGATAGTTTTTTGAGAGGCCTGAAGGTCCTTTCCTGAGGAAGAAACTCAGATAAAACAAATAAAAGTTTCAAGCTTTGACAGCGGAAGGGTCAATTTGTATGTTTATCCAAAAATAATGGTCTATGGGACTACTAGGCCCATTTCATCCCCAATCCCTACCTCTAAATATGGAGAATAATGGGTAAGTCTGTAGGCAAAAAGAAAAGACACACAAATGACCAGTTTATATATGGAAAGATGTTAATCCTCACAAACATGCAAAATAATCAAAGCAAAATAGATCAAAATAAAAGCAAGGTAGATATATTATTTTTTCACCTATCGCATTGGCTAGAACAAGAAGGCTGATAACCTCTAGTGCAGGTGATAAAGCCTATGGCACTTTCACTGCTTTCCAATGGGAAGGAAACTGGCTACACTCCTGAGGATTCTGGCACACAATATTAAAAGTCTTAACAATGTGCTTGTCTTTCACCCAATGATTTCACATCTAGGATGATTTCATAAAGATAGTTGTATGGAGATATTAGTCACAAAACAAAGTTTAAAGTGGTAAAACCAAACAAAACATCTCAAAAACAGGAAACAATCTAAATGTCCATCAGTAGGAGATTGGTAAAAAATATATATATACGGCCGATGCAGTGGCTCATGCCTGTAATCCCAGCACTTTGGGAGGTCAATGAGGGTGGATCACTTGAGGTCAGGAGTTCAAGACCAGCCTGGTCAACATGGTGAAACCCTATCTCTACTAATAATGCAAAAATTAGCTGGGCGTGGTGGGATGTGCCTGTAATTCCAGCTACTCGAGAGACTGAGGTGGGAGAATCGCTTGAACCTGAGAGTTGGGGGTTGCAGTGAGCTGAGAACCCACCACTGCTGTCCAGCCTGGGCAACAGAGTGAGACTATATATATGAGAGTATTATATTAAATAAAAAAATACCTATCTAAACCTTCTGACATGAAAAGATTCAGAATATATAGCCAAATAAAAGGATGTCTTAAAACATTATGGGCAGTATTATCCCATTTATGTTTGTATTTATGAAGTTATCTATTGTCTATTTTATATTTTTAGAACTTGGAATTATGATTTATAATTACATCATGTCTAATTATATTTGCATACCTATTATGTTGTATATATTTATGTGGACTTAATTAGATTTAGATTTACACATACATGCATATCTTTTCTGAATTTTCATTCACCAAAATTTTAACAATGTTCATACTTGGTGATTTTAGGTGGTAGAACTGTGAATAATATTTACTCTTACCCTCATTTTCTGAATTATTTTCCATGAGTAAGTGTTACTTTTCTAATAAGAAGAAAGCTATTATAATATTTCAAAAGCAAAAAAAATGGAAAAAGAAACATAGTCTTGGGAATGGTCACCATTTTGTGACCTGGACAAGGATCTCTTCTAATGGCCTCTTCACGTATGATGGATGCAATTTTTTTTAACCTGGATGTATCTACTCTGTGTAAGGAGATGAGCTACACCATCAAACGACCCATTTCCTGCTTATATAAGTCATATTGGATTGAGGAATACTGCCTACCACCATAATTTTTCATCTTTTTAGTACTGGCTGCCATTTCTCTAAAAGTAACTATAATTTTATAACAAGTCTGTAGTGATTGGCAGGCCACAAAAGAAAAGAGAAAGGATAGATTGATATTTTAAGTATTAGAAGATTGGAAATCTCTTGCCTTGTATAGTCAAGGCAGAGAATTCTTAGTTTTGTTATATTTTAAAAAACAATAGCTACCATTTATTAAGTGCTTCCTATTTGACATGTGTGGGCTAAGCACTTCCTGTGCAATATCTCATTTCAAACCCTATGAGATCAGTTCAATGTTTATTTTAATTTTATAGTTGAGGAAGCTGATTAAGTGACTTATTGAAGTTCGATAGCTAAAAAGTAGCAGAGTCATTGTTTTGTCTGATAATTAGAGATGATCAGATTCCAGATGGTGTAACAGCTTGATAAATGGAAAGGGGTCAGGTGTAGGGATTAGAAGATCTAGGTCATATTGCCACTAAACCTTGGTAAGTTTCTTCCTCTTGGGTTGTAGCAAACATGGTAAATAGAACATACGTGTATATTTATACTCTGTTACTCACATGGGAGTAAAGGAATAAAAATTATATAACCATGTATCTAGATCTATACCTACAAAGACATAAAATGAGAGAGGAAGGGCTGCAGATAAGAGATGTCACTGTGTTTTTGAAAGACTGAAAGGAGAAGAAAGAATAGTAATTAGCTTAGCAGAGCAGAGAGAGCTGAAATCTAAGTGCTTACAGTATAAGGAGATGATGCAAAGATATTTGCTTTGCATTTTGCATCATGTAAAAGTTCAGAGATCAAAGGCATCCCAAAGACTATGTATTTGTTTATCTATTTGGTTACTTTTCTCAGAATATTTTAATACACTTCGTAGAATTCTTACTTTCCAATGCATTATTTTATGGTTGCTTCATTTTTCTTCCTTTTATTTTTTGTTTCAAATTAAAAAGGTCTGGGATTTTTAAATTATAAAAGTATTATGTTCATATTGAAAGAATTTCAAACAATACAGAAATGTAGAAAGTGATATAAAAAACTTTTGTACACCTCCATCTGATTCTCTAGCTGTGCTACCCTATATGGTATCTACTAGCTACATGTCACTTTTTCAATTTAAATTAATTAAAATGAATTACATTAAAAATAAGTTAGTTGCACTAGCCACATTTTAACTGCTCAAGTCACCTGTGGTTAGTGGCTACTATATTGAACAGTGCAGAAATAGAACATTTTTATTATCATAGAAAGTGTGTTAAAATATTATTCTAGAGATATTCACAGTTAAAAGTTTATTGTGTAAATTTTCAATTTGTTTTCAATTGTACAGAGAAAATAAGGCATCATCATTAGAGATATGCAAATCAAACCACAATGAGATACCATTTCACACCAGTCAGAATGGCTGTTATTTAAAAGTCAAAAAATAACAGATTCTGGTGAGGTTGCAGAGAAAAAGGAATTCTTATGCACTGTTGGTGGGAGTGTAATTTAGTTCAACCATTGTGTTAAGACAGTGTAGTGATTTCTCAAAGACCTGAAAAAAGAAATAACCATTCGACTCAGCAATCTCATTACTGGGTATATCCCCAAAGGAATACAAATCATTCTGACATAAAGACACATGCACGAGTATGTTCATTGCAGCATTATTCACAATAGCAAAGACATAGAATCAACCTAAATGCTCTTCAATACTAGACTGGATAAAGAAAATGTGGCACATAAACACTATGGAATACTATGCAGCCATAAAACCAAACAAGATCATGTCCTTCTTTGCAGGGACATGGATGGAGCTGGAGGCTGTTATCCTTAGCAAACTAATGCAGGAACAGAAAACCAAAAACCACATGTTCTCACTTATAAATGGGAGCTAAATGATGAGAACACATGAACACCCAGAGAGAAGCAACAGGCAGTGGGGCCTCCTGGAGGGTGGAGGGTAGGAGGAGGGGGAAGATCAGGAAAAACAACTAATGGATACTCGGCTTAATATCTGGGTGATAAAATAATCTGTACAGCAAACCTCGGTGACATACATTTTTCTGTATCACAAACCTGCACATGTACCTCTGAACTTAAAATAAAAGTTAAATGAAAAAACAAAAGAAAATGAGGCATCATACTATACATGCTCATGGTTTTTCACAAATAGTCCAGCTGCTTTTAAGGAAAACCAACATTGTCTTGTTCTGTCCCTCCCTGTTCTCACCTCAGCTTCCCAGGAGCACTCACTTAAATTCTAAAAATCAAATTATAGTTGATGCATTATAACAAATTAAATGACATAGACACATAAGAAAATAACTCCTCATCACCTCCAGTTCTACACTATAGAGACAAAATCTACATAACATTTGTTTTTAGTTCTTCTGGCAGCTACTTTCACAACTCCATTGCTTGATTTATCACTCAGTCAATATCTATTAACTCCTTAATATGGAAGATGAGGATTCAGCGTGTTCATGCTGACCTGTCCCCTTGATTTCCTCCTCCTGTTTGAACTTTATATAATTACATTCTATTAGTTGCCTCTCTAACTCTAAATAACATTATTTAACTTCTATTTCTTATTTCCTCCACTTTCCCTTGACTTGCAAAATTTTGATATCATCCCCTAAACCTTCCTTCATCACTTCTTCCCATTTCCAGGTCCCACCCTCTGCTGCCACACTTTGACCAGTACATTGTACATTCTGTCTGCCCATCAACGCTTCCTTTCCTGTGCTTTTCTCATGTAAAAGTCCAAAGCCAATCAGCACATTAATTTGAAATATGTGGCTTGAACTAAATGTATTCCAAGGTCCCTAAATTTGGATATTCTACAATCCATTTAGCTAGATTTGATGTTAGAACATCTGATGTAAACCTGACTCATGGGTGGTGAAGAGTCTTTGTGTGTGTGTGTGTTTGTGTGTGCATTCACACAAGCTCATGTTTGTGTGGGCAAATGCTCTTCCTACTCTAATCATGTGACATGGAAGGTGCATATATAGGAGCTTTGAAGGTCCCTGGGAGACAAGCTACAGCAGTGTGATTCTAATCCCTTTGATTGTATACAAGTTTCACATCCTCGATCTTTGTTCAGACACTGTCTCTCCGGCATGGCCTGAGGGCTGTGGATATCATTTAGCTTTCTGATCTTCCAAAGTGTAAAAGATTCTCTTGACTGAGGTGGAAGCACATGGACTAAAAGGTACAGAGTACAAGATTTCAATCTTAGAGATCTACACGAACACATGGAAGACATCTCTATTACATACACCATGAAAATCGACACAAGTTATTCATAATTTCAATGACCATATTGGATTGCCTTTAATAGACGCTAGTTGAAAGAGGGTACTAACCAAAAGCTAATATTGGAGCTTACTCTCAGGCTGCTGGGAGGCCCCCAAGAATCTCATTGGCAGTCTCTTTTGAGGATCAGTTCCCTACGTCCATTAAACCAAGATTAAATTAGTTTGTGGGAGCTGCTTTTAGCATTTGCACTATTACATTATGCATGATTCCTGACTGCACATCGCATGAACAGACTGCACTGAGCTCCATTAGTGATTTTTTAGGGCTGTGCTTAACTTGGAAATGGATTGATTTTGTGTAGGTTAATGTATAGCAGTGATGTTGCCATGGCCTTAAAAATACGCTCTTATGTTTGATATCAATAGGGAAGCACTCTTTGGGGATTATGGCTCATTTTAAAAGGATAAATTATGTAGATTGCATGATTAGAGAGCAGTAAACCCTGTAACAGTGTATTGTATATCAGGAAAAGCAGTACTCTCTTCCTCCTTGCCTTGGTGAGTTCAGGCTACCTTATTCAATGTGTTTCCTACTAGGACCTTCCCCATGAAGCTAAAATGATATTCCCAGGATTATTCAACAAGTCAGGGCAAAGCCAAGAATTGAATGCATATCTTTTAAATTTTGGTTATGAGAATCAGAAAACTGGATTTTAGGGGCCTTAGCTCATCCTCCTTACTAGAGGGCTACACCTACCTTTCTGGACTTCCCAGAGTCAGACAAGGTGCCTGGGAGGGTATAGGTGTTGGTAAGTACCTGCTGAATTGAATTAATGATTCACCTCCCTCATTTTATAGAGAAGGTGACTGGAACAACGTTTAAATATTTAGCCAAAAAGTACCTTTGCTAAAGTGTACCCTAGGCCAGGCACAAAGGTAAATCAGCCATAGATGCTTGCCTTCTAGGAGCTGAGAGTTCGGGCATGAGGGTGGCATAAGGGGAGAGGCAGGTGGTGCACAGACAATGCCCCTGCACAGTGGCAGAATGCAGCAGGTGCCCTGGGAAGCAAGAGGGTGGTCCTCAGCTTCTTTGGGGTGATGGTATCTGTGGTTAGTCAGGCTAATGATTGGCAGAAAGCATCCAGGCAGGAGTACAGGCTTGAGTCCAAGCACAAAGGGACAAAGCAACCTAGAATGAGCAAGGGTCTACAGGCCATGGTGGGTGGTGGGGAGAGAAATCAGTGTAGGGAGGTGACTGATCAGGGATGAACCTCCTTGCCAGGTGAGCTTACCTTGCCCAGGGACACCTGATATTTCGTGGCAGAAGCAGGACTCAAATTCACTTCTCTTGATTCCCAGAACTGTACCACCCTTTGATGTCATTCTACAAGGCTCCTTCCCCTGCCTCAAGCCTGGAGTGTCTCTTTTGCTGCTTTTACTGAGGGAATTACTGCTGCAGCCCTTTCTTTTTATTGGTATTTTCTAATTAGAAAAATAATATGTGCTATTTTTAAGGGGTAAAAGATGAAAGGAAAAAAAATTATCCACTTGTCTACTTTCCAATCCCAAACTACTAATAAATAATTTCTTTTAAATCCTTCTAGATACATTCTATGAATGTAAGAAGCATGGTAAACAAATGGCATCAGACAATACTTACTGGTCAGTAACTTGCTTTGGTTTATTTAATAACAAAACTCACATATTTTCATGAATGTATAGTTCTGCCTATAATTTTTTAAATTTCTATGTAATATTTCATAGTGTGGGTTGGCTTTAATTTATTTGAATAGTATCATGTTGTTAAGCATTTGAGTTTTTCTCTTATTTAGGTATTTTATATATGCACACACACAAACACATACATACACATAAATACATATATGTGCACACTGTATATATATACACTCTACCATACAATATATATATGTACTCTACACACTATTATACAAAAGGACTTTGAAAAGTTTGTGAAAAAATGGAATTAAAGGATTAAAATATAAAATATAAACTTTATTTCTCAAGATAAGCTGCATCAAAATCAAGACAGTTTCGTAAGTAATGATACTGGCCACTTAGTCGATCCTTAAAGAACTGAGGGTCCTGTGAATTTAACCGCATCAGTGCAGTCTTCTTTACAATATTAACTGAGAAAAAATTGGGGGCCTTTTATGGGTTTTTTTTTAAGATTAGGAAACAAAAAGAAGTCAGAAGTTGCCAAATCAGGACTGTAAGGTGGATGCCCAAAGATGTTCTGTGAAAACTCTTGCAAAATTGCCCTTGTCTGATGAGAGGAATGAGCAGGAACATCATCATGGTGGAGAAGGACCCTCTGGTGAAGCTTTCCTGGGTTTCTTTCTGCTAAAGCTTTGGCCAACTTTCCCTACACACTCTCATAATAAGCAGATGTTACTGCTCTTTGGCCCTCCAGAAAGTCAACAAGCAAAATGCCTCAAGCATCCCAAAGAATGATTGCCATGACCTTTGTTCTTGACTTGTCTGCTTTGGCTTTGAATGGACCATGTCCACCTCTTGGTAGCCATTGCTGTGATTGTGCTTTGTCTTCAGGATGGTACTGATAAAGCCATGTTTTGTCTCCTGCTACAGTTCTTCAGAGAAATGCTTCAGGATCTTAATCCCACTTGTTTAAAATTTCCATTGAAGGTTCTCTTTCTGTCTGTGGCTGACCTGGGTGCAAATGTTTTGTTACCCATTGAGGGAAACTGCTCAACTTTTATTTTTCAGTTGGAATTGTGTAAGTTGGACTAGGTGAGCTGCCTATGATGTTGGCTGTTGTTTCTGCTGTTAATAATCAGTCCTCTTCAATTAGGGCATGAACAAGATAAATTTTTTCCTTGCAAATTGGTGTGGATGGTCTGCTGCTGTGGGCTTCATCTGCAACATCATCTCATCCCTTCTTAAAATGACTTATCCATTTGTAAACTGCTGATTTCTTTGGGGGCACTGTCCTCACAAACTTTTTATAAAGGATCAGTGATTTCCCCATTTTTCCACTTCAGCTTCACCATAAATTTAATATTTTCTTCTTGACTCAATTTTTGCAGAATTCTGTTGCTTTGATGGGGGCTCTTTTCAAATTGATGTCTTATCCTTCTTAGTGCCTCATAGTAGATCCTGTTCAGACATGTTATTACAAGTTAGCATGAGTTTCTTTTGTTGCTAAAAAACTTCAAACTCCATGCATGCATAATTTATTTACAATATGCAGTTTCTTTGAAATTTTTGAAATTCCCTTGTATATATACACCTACTATATGTGTGTAGATATCTATACACAAACATAAACACATAATAGGAAAAGTATGAAACATGGACTATATACATTCAGACTCATGGGAACAGCTGCCTCAAAAGAAAGCATAGGGAGGAAAACATAAGAGACTTCATCTTTACCTGTCATGTTTTATTATCTTAAAATATATATTATCACAAATAAGGTAGATACTTCAATAGTTCTGACATCATCCATTAGATACACTGATAATTATAACAACATCCTTTATAACTTTCTGAATTTTTCAATTCTACAGGTTTCATTTAAAAATACACACATATACAAAGCAGGGTGATATTTTCATCCTATAACACTCACCCTTTTATCTCCTGTAGGTGATTGAAGAAACTGCCCATGGGATCATAACAGAAGCCCCGGTGATAGTCTTCTCAGATTGAACCACAGCACTAATGGAGATTACCAAAATTTATAGGATAAGATTACTGAAATTTCTATGTTGTTTTATCCCATTGAAATCAATGGAAAGCAAAGGACAGGAAAGAGCCAAACAGACAATTTTCCCCTCTCATCTCTATGATATGGTCCCTCCTTACAGTTCTTCTGGAAAAGTCCAGAGTGCCAAGCAAATATACTGACTCTGGGGTCCTGCTGTGCTGCATCGTGGCTCATTGTGAACCAGTGGTCAATCCAGGAGGCCATCTCCATAGATACTTTGCATCATTTCCTTTCCCTCCCCTTCACCACTGGGGACTTACACTTCCCAAATAAAATATCAACAATTCAATCCATATCCCTGCATTCTAGACGCTTAGCACACTCCCATGACCCACATGCTGGTGAGGATGTTGAGTTCATGTGAAGCCTTGGTAATTTTGGTTGGAAACATGTTTCTAGAATCAAGGCAATGTGGTTTGGTCAAATTCAGATGAGATTGTGGAGCCGCGTGTCCTAGATTCCAGCTTTGGCTCTAGACCTTATAAACCAACCCTGTGGCCTTTTATCTCTCTCATCAGTCTAATGGAAATCATATTACCTGCCTTCCTTATCTGGAAATGTCATCATCAGGATCAAGAGAGATAAGGTTTGAGAAAGTAATGTGTAAGCCATTAAGTAGTACACAGATGACCATTACTGCTGTCAAACAGGAATTTGATGCAATGAACTCTGTTCCCCTTTTCTGTCAATACAAGTTCAGTGTTAAACATTTATACAGTTGTGAAAACTTCAAGTAAGTTGCGTGTGTTTTTTGGCTTTTATACAAATGATATTTTACCAGAGCAGTGGTCAAAAAACTATGACCCACAGGTGAAATTCTAAAGGCAGTCCTTTTTGTAAACAAAGTTTTATTGGAACTCAGCCATGTGCATTTCTTTACATATTGCCACAGCCACTTTCACACTACCAGGGCAGAGTTGAGTATTTTCAGTTGTGACAGAGACTGTCTGGCCCAAAAGCTGAAAATATTTACTATTTGGCCCTTCATAGAAAACGTTTGCCAATGCCTCTGCTAGAGGAAATGCTAGATACTGTGTCCCTTTCAGTTAACACTATATATGAGAGCTATGGTCTTCAAATTTTATGTCTGCAACATAATCCACTGGGGTCAACAAAAAAATATTTTCATTTTTATTTTTCATCTCATTCTTTTTTATTTTCATCTAGTATATACTTTAGAAGGTATAAAATATACTAGTATGATTGAACATGTATATAATTTATAAATAAAACACACATAAATAATTATATTACAGTTACATGTGTCACTAAATGTGTACAATTTAGCCATGTTACTCCATATGGATCTAGCTGTTTTGCCTGAACGCTTTGCATGGAGCTGCATTATTTGAATTCACCATAGTGTAAGTATCAATTCCCCTTCCAGTAATATTTGGGCCACTCCCAGTCTTCAGCATTGCAAACAATGATGCAGTGAACACGCATGATTTGCTTTTGTCCAGACTCATGGCTACTTGATAAAGCCTGGTGATAGGAACTCATTCTGACCTTGTCCAGGTTGGAGAACTGCATACAGCTAGTCAAATGCAGACCCAGACACAATTGGGCCATTGCTACATTATTCTTGGCTGACTGCAGATGTGCTTTATCTGCCTTGATGACAAATGCATTACACTGAACATTTTCATGTGTTTCAGAAGACAAAGGGGAAAAAAGGTCTCAAAGATTTCAAACACATAGAAATCTATAGGAAGGAAAAACAAACTAATCTGAGGTGCCTCTGACTCTCCCTACTTCTTCCCTGTCTCCATTGTTCTCTGGCATCAGCAAAACCTTCTCCCTGGCACTTTGCAGGGAGAACTCCCCTCACCCCTTTCCAGCCCACCCATGGTGGCTGACTTTTGTGCCCTCGAATTTGACTATACCTTTTCCTGCCTTGTGTATCTTAGATTTTAATGCAACATTCTGGAAGATCTTAGAACCTGTACTCTGATCTGAATTATTAAAGCAGGTCAGTGCTTATGCACTTAGAAGTAATATTTTTCTTCAAACATCCTCTGTGATATGGAAAAAGGTAATATTGCAACCAAGAGTTGCTTGCATAGATGGACATTCCTTTCATTCCCTCTTTTGTTCATTTTTTGGCAGTTTCTTCATTCTCTCTCTCTCTCTCTCTCTCTCTCTCTCTCTCCAGTAATATTTACTGGGCTCTGAGACAAGGAGAAGTCTATGACCTGTAGGAATTGATTGAACTGATTCACATCAACTATATAAACATCGTTTTTTCCTTCTTGGCTTTTCAGTTTTAGGTTGATTTGACCAAAGTCATTTCCATCCTTAGCATTGAAAGTGAAATGCTGATTTGACCTGCAGGGCCAATGCTTTAGCCACCAAGAAACTGTAAGCTCCATAAGGGCTTGTTTTAGTCATTATTGGAACCCTATACATAGCACATAGATGTCCAACAATATTCACTAAATGGATGAATAAATGAATGACCAAGGACTGAGGTGCAAGGTAGCTATAACCCAGCACTTGGGGCCATTCAGATTCAGTGTATAGGAGGATTCCTAAGTGAGAGATTCCTCAACCAAAAAACTTGGGCACTAGAGTGTGAAGAGATTGGAGGATCATCCTTCATTGATCAGATTATATCTTTGATGTTGAGTTGCTAAAATGATGGGATAGTTTTTACACACAGCGTTTACTTGAGAATTAAATTGAAAATAAGAAGAGCCATCTTGGTGTTTTGATTCAAAACATGAGCATTAGAGTCCAAAGTTCTCCCATTTACACTGAGTCTTTAGGCATGACCCTTTACTATTTGAGCTTCAGTTTGCTCATCTATAAAACAAACAAAAACAATGTTTATAGGTTGTTTGTGATGATTAAATAAAACGATTATTGCACTCTTGGATGATGAAACAGACTGTAAATGTAAAAGAGAATGTGAATTCCTTTCTCCGTTTTTTCCTCTTTTCCTTTTACCCAAGATGATTTGGTTATTGGAATGTTGAAAAGTCTTTAAAGGATGGCACAGACTTAAATGACTGTTATAGAGCTAAGTTTTGATATATTTGGCTCAGGAGATTTTGAACTAAAAACATGGCAGTTTTAGCATGGATGATGAGAAATTTCTAAGAGCGAGATTATTTTGCTTGTTAAAAAGAATTGAGCTTCTCTTCATGATGTTACCTTCATAGATCCATATGTTGAAGACCTAAACCCAGTTACCTGTGAATGTGACCTTATTTAGAAATGAGGCCTTTGCTGCTATAATCCAGTTACGATTAGGTCATACTGGATTAGGGTGGCCCTAAATCCAAGGAGAAGTGTCCTTAGATTGAGACTTGGTGACACAGAGATGCTCAGGGAGATGACCATGTGAAAACAGAGGCAGAACTGGTTACACTGCCACACCCAAGGAACACCTGGGGTTACTAAAAGCTGAAAAGGGGGAGACTCTAGTCTTTAGAGAAAGTATGATCCTGCCACTACATTGATTTTGGACTTGTAGCCAACAGAACCATCAGATAAAAAATTCCTGTTGTTTCAAGCCACCCAGTGTGCTGTACTTTGTAACCGAAGCCCTAAGAAACTAATACAATGCAGTACATAAAGTATTCATAATTTTATAAACGTTTAACACTTGTGTTGAAAGAAAAGGGCAACAGAGTTCATTGCACCAAATTCCTGTTTGACAGCAGTAATGATCATCTGTGTACTACTTAATGGCTTACACATTACTTTCTCAAACCTTATCTCTCTTGATCCTGATGATGACATTTCCAGATAAGGAAGGCAGGTAATATGATTTCCATTAGACTGATGAGAGAGATTAAAGGCCACAGGGTTGGTTTATAAGGTCTAGAGCCAAAGCTGGAATCTAGGACACGCGGCTCCACAATCTCATCTGAATTTGACCAAACCACATTGCCTTGATTCTAGAAACATGTTTCCAACCAAAATTACCAAGGCTTCACATGAACTCAACATCCTCACCAGCATGTGTGTCATGGGGGTGTGCTAAGGGTCTAGAAGGCAGGGATATGGATTGAAGTGCTGATATTATATTTGGGAGTGCAAGCCCCCAGTGGCAAAGGGGAGGGAAAGGAAATGATGCACCATTGACAAAGATGAGTCCCTGGATTGACCACTGGTTCACAATGAGCCACGATGCAGCACAGCAGGACCCCAGAGTCAGTATATTTGCTTGGCACTCTGGACTTTTCTAGAAGGACTGCAAGGAGGAACCACATCATGGAGAAGAGAGGGGGAAATTGTCTGTCTGACTCCTTCCTGGTCCTTGCTCCTAATTGGTTAATGTTCACTCCATGATGAACTGACTCTTCTTCCATCCACTTCCTGGTGACCTCAGCTGCCCTCTGCAGCTATAAATATACCTTTCAGAGTGAGGAGAGAGGGTTGTACTGCTTATGTATGCTCAACTTAGTGATAGGATTTTTTATTAGAGGATTTTTCTCCTCCCTGTCCACTAAAATGATTTTGCAGAAATGATAAGAAAATCGACCACAGTTCTCTGAGAGCCTCATGTTCACAAGGAAGATGGAAAAAAAGAAATGTTTTTGAGTCTCTGGCCAAAGACAGCGAACAATCAAGAGCCACTCACATGTTAAGAGTTTGTGGGCCCTCTGCTAAGTGTCCAACATGCATTCTCTCATTGTCATCACTATTATGAAATAGGCACCTGAATTTTCTAGATGAGTAACTGAGGCTTCGAGATGAGTAATTTGAGAAAACTAACTGAAGGAATATGTTGTCGAGCTCAAAAGTTGTGCCCAGCTTATCTGCCATCAAAATCAGAGTTCATAAACATAGTATTATACTACCTGATAATTATCATATTTCATTGTATCTAAGACCTCACTGATTAAAGGGAAACCAGTATGTTATGTAGGATTAAGACACTTAAAGAAAAAGACTGCCAATTACATAGGCTCACTGCTTTCTTATCACTCAGAACTTTTACTTTTTGCCTCATAAAACATTTATTTTAAACACATTTGGACACACTTTTATTAGAAAGGTGAAATATAAATGAAATAAATGTGTTGGGATATTCCTAAAACCTTGACTTTTTACCTATTAAAATTTAGTTAAAACTTATTTAGACACATCTTTGTAGAAAAAGAAATAAAAGTGAAATTCATTTGTTGGGACATTCTTAAAACACCTGCACTTTTGAATACTGTTTCACCTGGGTTGTCAGTGTCTGCAAGTTCGCTACCACTAAGCACCTTGGTGATGAACTGTAGGAGAATTTGCTATTGTCTCAGAATTTTTTTTTGCAAGCCATTGCAAGCCATTCTGCACATGTCGATGCCCATATGCAGACAGTGACAACTCCCTCATGACTGACACCTGGCCAACAGTGATTATGATATGCATTCCAATTTCCGGGAGGTGAAAAGGTGAAAATACTCATTGTAGAATCTATGAAGTATAGAAATTTTATCCCTGGTCATAATGTCGATGTTAACTTCCATTTAGAATTAAATGTTTTCCTCTCATAACCTGGGGGATTTCTGCTAGCTGTATAGGCTTCTTTGGGGGAAATAATGTAGAACATTTTCCTATTGTTGGTTTCAGTAATCCCAGCCACAGCATTAATGAATTGGATTATTGCATAGGCAAACTCAACTCCCTCCATTCTTTGCAAGTTATGAGATTTAACTGTGTTTGAGAAAGTTTCTGGCAAAAACTCCTGGGCTTTTAACTTATGTGGAGTTTTAAGTACAATTCATCATCTTATCTAATCTGATATCCAAGGATAGCTTTGTCAAAGCAGAGTCAAGTATTGGCAATCCCTCAGAAATCTCTGAAGAATGAATAAAAGAAAAATGATTTAAAGCTGAACGCTTTAAGTAGGAGTTTGAAATCTTGTTAAAAACTGAACAACGGACCCCTTCTTGAGTCTGCTAATGCCAGCTTTGGAATATGAATAGAAAACCAAACTCTGAGAGAAGAGATGGATCTTGGATATCATCATGTCTACTGTAAGAAGTGTATCCAGCTCCATCCTGGGCAGATAATAATAGAATGTGTTGATTCCATGGGAGATTTCACACAAGAACGAACAAATTCTCTAACCTGTGGTAACCTGCTCAGTGCCTCCCTTCCTCCATAGAAAATGATCCCAGATTTTGGTTGGTATTATTTATATTTGACCTTGGAAGATATGGAGGAATACAACATTGTCCCACATGTAGCAAAGGCATTGCATAGTGTGAGGGTTAAAAGTATGGGTTCAGACCCAGGTTTGAATCTCAACTTTGGTGCTTATTAGCTGTTTGACCCTGGGGAAATTCTGTAACCTTTCTGTGCCTTTGTTTTCTCATATGTATAGTGGAGAAAATAGCTGTGTCAATTGAATGGTATAGTTTTGAGGACTGAATGTTAACAGTTGTTAAGCCCTACCTCATAGGAGGTGAACCTGATAGGTAACTTTTTTCTTTTTCTTTTCTTTTTTTTTGAGACGGAATTTCGTTCTTGTTTCCCAGGCTGGAGTGGAGAGGCATGGTCTTAGTTCACTACAACCTCAGCTTCCTCCATTCAAGCCATTCTCCTGCCTCAGCCTCCTGAGTAGCTGGGATTATAGGCGCATACCACCACACCCGGCTAATTTTTTATTTTTTTAGTAGAGACAGGGTTTCATCATGTTGGCCAGGCTGGTCTTGAACTCTTGACCTCGGATGATCCACTATCCACCCACCTCAGCCTCCCAAAGTGCTGGATAGGTACTTTTTAAATAAAACAAAAGTAACAACTGCTCTCATTAATTCAAGTTCTATATAAACTAAATTGGGGTCCTTTATTATGTTACATACACATTGCTTTCTTCAGTTTCTAAAGAAGAACAGTGAATTGGCATCACTGGACTATTTTTCCTTCTTTTGGACTATTCTTCCTTCAGATGTTATCTACCTCAGAAGATATAATTACATGTTTTTCCTAAATTCTGATACATGGAAATGAGAATTTTTCTTCTTTAAAATAAGTCAGTACAATTATAGTGGCCATTCCAGTTGCCTAACTGATATTTTAATTGAAAACATAAGTCACATCCAAGGAAACAACACATTCACTCACTGAATATGGAATGAGGGTCCATCAATAAATAGATAACATGTATATGAATACAATATGTATATTTGATTTTCTTTTTGGTTGACTTTGAGTTTGTGCTTCTTACTCCATCAGGACAGAGAGAACTTGCAGGGTCTTCTGGCAAAGGCAACTTGGACATTGCATTAAAAAAGAAAAAAATACCGAGCACCAAAGTCTGAGCTCTTTACCACAGGACTTAAAGCTCTTCCCTGCAATGCTCTGTTATTAGTGGGACTCAGCCCCACCCCAAGGGTTACTTCCCTCTATCCTGTTATCTTTCTGCAAAGTCCTTTTTAGATTTGGATTTCTGATGGAGAGAATCTGTATGCCCAGAATGCTTTTCTTTCAGTCAAGCTGCATATTAGGCCTTCAGCCAGCCTTGCCCCAACCATAGATAGCCCCTCGTGGGAACCACCCAGTGCTGGCCCCATGACCAGGGCATGAACAGAGGCCATGTATGCATTGATTGGAGCATAAAAGGCAAAATTTCCTATAGTAGCAAGCAGATTGACGTGTCTGGTGCGGATCCTCTGTGCCTCCTTTACTCGTTCATGTAGGCAAAATTGAGCAAGTCATGATGAGCACATTTCTTTATTCTAGAAGTTTCCTATTCTCAACTCAGAATTTTCAACCTAGATTTGCAGTAGAATATGGTCTCCATCAGAGCAAGGACACCATGGGACTGAGTCAGCCCTCTTTACCTCCGTATCCCCAGTGCCTTTCACATTGCCCATGAAGGACCCTCACTCCATATTTAATGAATGACTGTGTTGTTTCTCTGAATGTGACTTATGTTTTCAACAAAAATATTGATTATGAAACCGGAGTGGCCACCGTAATTGTACTGATTTAGTTTAAGGAAAGAAAGAATAAAAGGGAAGTGAAGGTTGCAGTGAGCCGAGGTCGCACCACTGCACTCCAGCCTGGGTGACAGAGTGAGACTCTGTCTCAAAAAAAGAAAAAAAAAGAGGGGGGGAAGTGAAATGGAGGAAGAAAAGGGAAAAGGAAAGGAAGAAATAAAGGCCCCAGTTTCTTTAGAGTTGGGAATGACTTCCTACTTGTTTAAATGGTTGGCTGTGGTCTGGACCACACTTACGTGCTGAGTCGTCTAACACCTCGACCTACCTAGTAACTGCCAAGAAATTCATGCTAGTTGGAAAATCCATTGGATTATAAATGCAAATGAGTATCCAAAGTGTTCTTGTTTTTTTCCTCTTTTAAAAAAGTTTAATAGTAATGATTGCCTATCAAAAATCTTTTACCTCAAACAATAAAAATTGCAACAAAATGAAAATCTCCTTTTTGCTTCTTGCCTCATACTCTCTCTCAGTTCTTTAATGTAGCCTCTGTTAATAGGTTGGTATGTGTGGTTCCAGTATATTCTTCTAAAATAGAACACAAATATAGGGGTGTGTGTGTGCATTACAGATTTACAAGAATCTGACATGTTTATTAAGCATAGATCTCAGAACACACACTCAAAGGATACATTTCTTTTTTTTCAATAAGTGAACATGATTTGCCAGTGAACAGGAAACTCAATCACTGAATATGGAGTGAGGGTCCATCATGAAATGTCCCCCAGCTCCCAAGAGTTCTACCAAGGCCAAAAGGTCTTATGAGGCATTCATAAGATATTTTCCATGATGATTTACATCATGGAAACTCCTGGGGTCTTTTCTTTACCCAGGTTCCTGCTGAGATGTCCATGGTCTCTGTTTATACGGTCCTTTCCAGAAAGTCTTGAGAAAGCCTTTCTTGGTGGTGAGGACACATGAGTGGGCAAAAGGAATGGTGATATGTCATCTAAAAAGGCATTACATCCTACATGTATTTATATTGTTTCAGGAGAACCAGAAATGAGCATATCACAGCACATATCAGTATAAAAACTAATTACAGTGAACCTAGAAAACTATCCTCATACTAACTATGAAGTTACATTGGTCATTTTATCATTTCTTTTGGATAGTGAAGTAATAGATTTCAATAAGCACAAGGAGAAAGCTGAATAAGCCTCGTATCTGGTTCAGGATCCATGTGTATGAAGCTCTTTGCTAATGAATGAATCCTTTTTAGTGGTGCTCAGAACTAAGCTGCATAATTCAATATAGGCACAAAAATATCCAACATGGAGTGAATCATTACTTGAATTGTGAGAAGGCACTGTCTGCCTTGTAGAGTGACTTCTAGAGTCTCCTCATTATGCTTTCTCTCCCTTTCCTCATTACTTCACAGGTGTACTGATTAGGTTTGCACCTTTCTATTTTCTTTTCCTTCTGTTTGTTCCACTCTTTGTCCATATTTTCCTAACTGCAGCAGATGTTCAGTCCACCCCTTTGCAAGGGATGAAATTTCTTAATGAAACAATTGTTGATAAGGACCCGGGCTCTTCACACACTGTCAATAACTGTCTTTGAAATTTAAAGGAGAAGCATGAACCTTGTGAGCTTGGATGAGACAACTCGCTTTGCAATTTAAGCTGATTGGTTTGAACAATGTGTTTGAGGCACTGAAGGAGGGGGTAGCTTGATTCATTTCACATCACATACTCAACTCGAGTTCCATCCAATTTCTGGGTCTTCAGCTAAGTCAAGGAACTTTTAGAGATCCAGGACTTACAAAGTACATGTGCAGTCCAGGAACATTCATCATGTTATCTTATCTGATAGTGCTGCTTCCCCTTCTGTTCACCAAAATAGAAAAGTCAGTGCATGTGGGTGATGTGCCCTTGGTACTGCAGTATAAGACATTTGGTCAAGTTGACAGGCACTGTTGGGTGTGAGAAGTCAGTTTTATCTTTCAGCTTCTAACATTTCTATCAGTTGAAAGTGCAGCTGCAATCTGAAATCTCAATATCCATTTAGGTAACATGTCCACCTCTAAAATTTGTATTACAGTAACTAATAAACCTGGATATCAATTAAATTCTGTGCTAAGGGTCAAGGAGGAAAAGGCAAGACATTGGAATGCTTCATCTCTTGAGTGTATCATCCTGGTGGCTCTTTATAATTATCAACTCCAATCTTTTCCTTGATCATAGATGTAAGGTTATGGAATTCTGACACATTTGTAGCCTGTGGAACTCTTATTTGACATATAAAACTCCCTATATTTAATGTATACACCATAGCCAGTTTGGGGATAATTATACACCTATGAAACCTGTATTAGTCTGTTCTCGTGCTGCTAATAAAGACATACCCAAGACTGTGTAATTTACAAAGAAAAAGAGGTTTAATGGACTCACAGTTCCACACGGCTGGGGAGGCCTCACAATCATGGCAAAAAGCAAAGGAGGAGCAAAGGCAAGTCTTCATGGCGGCAGGCAAGAGAGCATGTGCAGGGGAGCTGCCCTTTTATAAAATCATCAGATCTCATGAGACTTATTCACTATCATGAGAACAGCACAGGAAAAACCCACCCCCATGATTCAATTACCTCCCACAGGGTCCCTTCCATGACATGTGGGGATTATGAGAGCTATAATTCAAGGTGAGATTTGGGTGGGGGCACAGCCAAACCATATCAAATCCATTACCACCTTTAAAGCCATAGACCGATCCATCACCTCTCAAAGTTTTCTCCCACCTCAGCTTGTGGTGCTTTCTTTCTTTTTTCTTTTATAATTTCAACTTTTATTTTAGATTCTGGGGATACAAGTGCAGGTTTCTTACATGGGCATATTTTGGGTATGAATGATCTTTTCACCCAGGTAGTGAGCATAGTACCCAATCAGTAGTTTTTTAACCCTTTCTCCCCTCCCCCCTTCCCCTCTAGTAGTTTCCAGCATATGTTGTTCTCATCTTTATGTCCATGTGTACCTAATGCTTAGCTCCCACTTATAAGTGGGGACATGTGGTATCTGGTTTTCTGTTCCTGCATTAATTCACTTAGGGTAATGGCCTCCAGCTGTATCTACATTGCTGCAGTCAACATGATTTTATTATTTTTTGTGGCTACATAATATTCCATGGTGTATATGTACCACATTTTCTTTATCCAGACCACCGTTGATGGACACCTGGGCTGATTTCATCACTTTACTATTGCAAATAGTGCTGCAATAAACATACAAGTGCATGTGTCTCTTTGATAGAATGATTTCTTTTCTTTTGGATACATACCTAGTAATGAATTGCTGTGTTGAATGGTAGTTCTGCTTTAAGTTCTTTGAGACATCTCCAAACTGCTTTCCACATTGGTCTGCTTATCAAGTGATGACTTTTCTTATTTTTTAATCTTGGACCAGAGCCTAGAGATAGAACATTTTCTCTCTTTTTTTCTCATTGCTTTTTCTAGACCCTTTCTTCTTCCCTAAATACCATTTCCTTTGAGATGCATGCTGTCAGCACAACTTCTCTTTGATACAGTCATCTATTAATGTTCGAGCCACTCCACATCCCATTTTTTGACAGTTTAAACAGCTCAATAGGTCTCTCACATAGTCACATGTTTATTAATTGGGGAATATTCTGTATCTACAAGAATGATCCATCCAACCTGTTGACATCTCACATTCTTTCTTCTCCCCCTTCCAAGGGTCATTTTCCTCCACAGTGCCTGTTTAACCATCTATTTCTGTGATATTACCCCAGAATTCTAAGCTCATTCCCATTCCTTTCATTTATATGGGATATTTTCTCCAGACCTCTCATGACGTGTTCTTTCAATTATTCAGGCCTCTGTTAAAATGAAACTTCCTTAGAAAGCCTTTTGAAGTATCCTAAGATAACCATCCTATCCTAACTCTCTTTCCTCCCTTTCTCTCATACTGCTTCATTTCTTCCCTATACCTTTTATTAGCATCTTGACCATACATTATAGAGGAGAACGTTTCCTGTCTCTTCCTATAATGTATGTCCATAAGATAGGATTTTATCTGCTTGTTCACCACCATGTTCCTTGCACCGAAACACTGTCAATTCATATTAGACTCTACATAGGTATTGAGAATGAAATAATGAATAGATTATGTGTGTTTATAGCTATGTACCAATTTACCATGAACACTTTCAGGCCATTAATGAATTATCACCCCATCTCAATCCTCATACGGTAACTTTTCTATATTAAGAGCATTCCTGGGAATAATTTCCATCAGAATTTTTATAATTCCCCACTTGAAATTTTTCTGAAGTGTTCTAATTAATCCAATAACATTCATAGCTTATGCTGAATTGCTGTGTAGATTCCTCTTGGGAGGAATTTTGAAACAGGCAGGCCAGCTCTTTATAATATTTCTAGCATAAGTTTTGATAATTCTTTTGCTGCTGGATGAGTAAAATTGCATTGTTATCAAAGGTGAGGGAACATGGGTCATTCTTGTGAATAAGAAGATTTATTGCTTGCTTAATTTTCGAGGAAATACCTTTAGCTCCTTCTTAAACTATGGGTCTATGCGTCAGTAGCTTTTCCTGTGTTTATGTAGCAGCTTTATTCATAGGCCTGATGTTTAGCCTCTTCTGGGGAGTTCTGAGATTCTGCATCAGAAAAACGCTCTGCTTTGTGTACAAAGATGATCTGTTGACCTGCCACCACAAGGCTCTTGCTGGGCTGTTTCACTGAGGTGGGAATGTCTTAAAATGGTTTTCTAAGGCATTAATAATTCTTTTCTGATTTTTCTTGTGATCAGTGGCCTGAATTTGCAATATGTCTGGCAGTACCCAAAGACACAGACCAATGCTGAAAAAAAAAAAAGACTTCCCCTTCTGCAAACCTAGTTAAACTTCATATAGACTTCAGCCTCATTAACTCCTTTTTTTTTTCTAAGCAATTCTGTAGCACACTCTTAAGATTAAGATTAAGATGCACCGAGTCCAGGAGTTTGAGACCAGGCTGGCTAATGTAGTGGGACATCATCTCTAAAACAAACAAACAAAAAAACACAAAAAACAAAAAACAAATTAGTCAGGCATGGTGGCATGTGCCTGTAGTCACAGCTACCTGGGAGGCTGAGGTGGGAGGATCACTTGAGCCCTGGAGGTTGAGGATGAAGTGAGCCATGATCATGCTACTACACTTTAGCCTGGATGGTGGAGTGAGATCATGTCTCAGAAGAAAAGATAAAACAATAAAAAATAAAAAATAAAAAGCTCCAGTGAAGGCCTTCCCTAAGGTAACCTCCTCTGAAACTTAATTTTATATTTTCACAAAACCATAAGGTCTCTGAACTTGAGTAGGAAGGCTTCTTCCTATACTTTGTCATAGTTCATATTCAACAAATGCTAAAGAATTAAGTACATAAAGAAAAAAAATTGGAGGTGAAGAGAGAATGCATTGTTTTTTCTTCACTGAGAGAGAATCTTTTTATGTTCTTTGAGAACTTCCTTGGTAGAAGTTTAAAAAGTTCCAACTGGGAACCTCTCTGCCTTAAACAAGAATCACTGGCCTGGTGAGTCAGGTAAGATATTGATAGCACAAATTTCCATGCAAATGTGAAGGGGAAATGCATGCATATTAGCACCCCTCCATGATTATTCTGAAAAAAAGAGAGAATGACTCACTGAAGCAGAGAGAGCAAAAAAGAGCTAAGTGGGTTATGTTTTGGTTAGAAACTGTTTGGTATTAAATATGAGAAATATAAGAATATAGAATTTATTAAAAACAATTCTTGTGAAGTCTGTATGGTTTTCTTCATTTTCCTAAGAGTATGTACTAATAATAGAAATTATTTTCAGACTTTTTTTGATTATTGTTATTTTATTGAATATATGTTTGTATCCTGTGGGGCCCTGTTTCACGTGGCTTGCCTATTGTGACTCATCACTGATGTGATGGGAGGACCACGTAGGCTGGCTCTGGATGTTCCAGTAATCAGAGAAGACTTCCTGGAAGGGACGGTATTTTACCCAGGCCTTGAAGGATGGGTGGACTATGAATCATTAGAGATGACAGACAGAGTTTCCAGATGGAACCAATGATTAAAGTGACCAAGAAGGTAAGCATCAGGGAGCAGGGAAGAGCTCAGTGTGGCTGGAATCTTTTGCCTGGAATGTGTCCTTTACACCTGATCATCATGCGGACACTCACACACACACACTCCAACACCTTCACCTGGTGAACCTCACTCATCCTCGAAGTGTTAGTTTAGGCTCCACTCCCTCCAGGAAGCTTTCCCTGATTTCTCTCCACACAGTGCTATGTGAGGGGCTCATGATGTAAACTCAGGGGGACCCAGAGCTTCTATTATCAGAGCACTCATCACCTAATAATGCCAGTGCCCATTACCTCTCATTTCCAGGAGGACAGACAACTCTTATTTATTCTTATATTTCCCCAACATCTATCACAGTACCAGGAATATAATAAAACCTTAATAATTGTGTGTGTTTGTGTGTGTGTGTGTGAGAGAGAGAGAGAGAGGGAGAGAGAAAGAGAGAGAGAGAGACAGAGAAAGAGAGAGAGACAGAGAGAGAGAGAGAGAGAGAGAGAAAACGGGGTAGAGAATACTTCTGAAACAAATCCTGAGAGACACAGCACGGAAGACACTGGTCTTCTTACCTGCCAGGTGAGTCAAGTGTTCAGTCATAAGCTCCCATTGTTGGAGGGAGTCTTTAGAAAAATCTAAATCATCCCCTTATTGTAGCAGACAGAGAGTTGAGGATAGAGGTAATGAGAAGGAAGGTATCTAAGAAAAGCACACAATTTGCGCCAGTTGGATCACTCTATTGGTTACCCCTCTGGTGCATTTTCCCCTGTCCCATGTGGTTACTTTGCAAATAAACAATGTAGCATTATTTTTATTTAAGAGCCAGAAGTTTGCAATCCAAGATGCAAAAAAACTGAAGAAAAAAACCATGGCTAAAATGTCATGCCCTGAAGCATAGCTAAGTCTCACAAAGGTGACAGAATTAATTTGCTTGGAAATATTAAATATAGAATCCAGTCAGCAAACTTCTGTCACTTCTTGCTCCACAGTCTATTGTCACTGTTGTCAATCACAGCTGCTCCATCCCTCGCCCACTCACGTTTATATTGAGTGCACCTGTATGACTTTAAGGTACAAGGAGCCATAATAATAAGGGATTTGGAGTAAAGTTTTTCTCGCACTGAATACATAAACCCAGTAAAATATTGGTTTAAAATAAGAGACTGACGGGTGATGAATACCTTAATCGTATTGGTGAATATATCAATCAGCTCTACAAAAAGATGTGGTCTTTTAATTTTCTTGTGAGTTATAAGAGCAAACAGATAATATGAAATTGAGACTTCACAGGATCTTCCATGTCTATTCATCCAACACTAATTTAACATGATAGGTCCTTGGGGTGTGGCAGTAAACAATAGACATGGCCATTTACTCTAGGACATCACTGTGTGATGGATGGATGGATGGTGAATACATAATCATAAATGTAACCATTTGTTCCTGCAGGTGCTGGAAGGAAACATGCAGACATCCCAAGGATCCACGATGGCAGAATCCATTTTCATGTTCAGGCAAGGGCACCCTCCTAAGGCAATTACTCTTAGGACAGTATATTTGTTAGGGTTAGCTAGAGAAACAGAACCAATAAGATGAGATAGATAGATAGATAGATAGATAGATAGATAGATAGATAGATAGATAGAGCGAGCGAGCTAGATAATAGATATTTAAAGGAATTGGCTCATACAATTGTGGAGGCTTGGTAAGTTCAAAATCTGCAACTCTATGTTAGTTTGCTAGGGTTGCCATAACAAAATATGACAGTCTGGGTGCCTTAAACAACAGAAATTTAGAAATTTATTTTCTCACATTTGTAGGGGCTAGAAGTCCAAGATCAAGCTGTCAGCAGGTTTTTTTTTTTCTTTTTCCTGAGGACTCTCTCTTTGGTTTGCAGATATCTGTCTTCTCACTCTGTACTCACATGGGCTTTTCTGTGTGTGTGTGTGTGTGTGTGTGTGTGTGTGCGCGCGCGCGCGCATGCACGTGCGTGCCTGCATCCCTGGGCATCTCTTTGTATGTCCAAATTTCCTCTTCTTGGATGAACAGCAGTAAGATTGAGTAAGGAACCATACCAGTGGCTTCATTTTAACTTAATCACCTTTTAAAGACCTTGTTTTCAAATACAGTTTCATTCTAAACTACTGGGGTTTAGGGCTTCAGTGTACAAACTTTGGGGGGAACACAATGAAGCCCATAACAGATAGGACCTGATGGGTAAGTAAGGTTTGCACTGGTGTGTTCTGACAGTGAGACTCATCACAGGCACATTCTCTGTGGGCACTCAGGATGCATTCTGTCTGGTCAAAGTGCAGCATTCACTGTGATGATGAGCTCCTGGTGAATCTATCCAAGGTACAAAGGAGATGTGGAAAGAAGGTCCCTTTTTCCCAGAGAGAACAAAATCTTAAAATGCCCTCCAGCCTCTGGCTAGTGCAAACCTGTTGAAGTTATTTTAACCCATATATTTCTAAAATGAGCTTAGGAGATAAGGATCATTGTTGCCCCTGCCTTGGCAATGAGGCAAGTCTAATGGTTAAGTAACTCATCCAACATCATATAGCTAATCAGGTGGGGAGCCAGGATCTCTAACCACTACACAAGAAGGCTTGTCTCCAGGCCAGAGCTCAAGATCAGCAGAGTATGAGCAAGGAAGGGTGTGTGGTGAGAGATGAAGCTGGATAGGGGCCTTATAGGATTCTAGAAGGAAATTGGGCTCTACCTTGAGTTCGGTGGGGAGGCTCTGAGAGATTTAAGAGTGAGAACAATAGGATTAGAAAAGTCCTCTGACTGCTATTTGAAGAATAGATTATTTAAGGACAAGAATGCAAAGCAGGATACCAAGGAGGAGGTTTCCACAGTTTTCTAATAAGAGAGGACATTGACTTGGACTAGGCTTAAGACAGTAGAGATAGGAATAAGTAAAAATTCCAGGTGTATTTTGAAGATGGAAGAAACAAGACCTCGTAATTAATTAGATATTGAGAGATAAATCTTTAAAGAGCTATGATGATATGATTAATTGCATATAATATTCAATTATATATTATTAAGCAAAATACTTTTAAATTAGAAAACGTCATTATAATGACAAATAATTTAAGACAGGCTGAATATATTTCTTTTGTCTAAATAAAATGCTCTGCTGTCAGTTTGTCTCCTTTGCCTCCACTCCCCATCCCCCATTAAGAAAAATGCTAAAGAAAATGTGCTACACAAAAGTCAGATTACAGCAAAGTCTAGGGTAATTGGCTCATACTCCAGTTCAGTTCCCATAGTTTCTGTGCATGTACCTTTTTTTAAACATCTACAGTATGTGGAGATATAAAATGAGTCCATTTACAGTGACACATTTAGCTCTAAGATGTGTTATCCTAGCCAATATGTTCATAGATGAACTGCCTTTTTGTAAAGTGTGTTTTCTTTATTACTGTGAAAAAGAGGTTTGGGGCCAAGCATGAGGAACTGGGATACAGTGAGATTCATCCTGGGCACATGCTCTGTGGGCATGGAGGATGCATTCTGTCCAGTCAAAGTGCAGCATTCCCTGTGGTGGTGAGCTCCTGGTGAATCTATCCCGGGTCCAGTTCCAGACTGCTTTGCAGCCAAGCTTCTTCTTTGGCAGGGTTTGCCAGTGCTTTGTCATGGGGGAAGGAGGGTGGGATGTGAGCTCTGCATTGGGTCCTAGGTGAGAATCATACCATTAGTGACAAAGATCTGTGCTGAGGAACGTTAACTGGAGTGAGAAGCAACTGATTAAAATAAAAGATTGAAGAGCCAACGGAATGGAGGCTCCCTGCTCCTCCCCACTACACTGCATGAATACCCTGGCTCTGAGGACGCTCCGACAGGACTGGGCACCACTGGTCCTTCAGGCAGAACTAACTGCATGCCCGTTCCTGCCTGCATCCTTACCAAGTGGCATTTCCCACAGAAGAGAGTCAAAACCATTCCAACCCTGTAAGGACAAGCTCAAGTGTCACTGCCTCCAGGAAGTCTTCACCAGTACCTCTTTCCTGGCTCATTGGTCCTGAATTCCGCTAGCCTGCTGCTTCCTCCAGCCTGGGATCATGGGTGGTGGTCTGGGATCTCTGTAGGTAGCACATGAACAAGGGATTAAACAATGTCTTACCGTGATGAAGTCACTGCCTTTCGATTCTCTTTCAATTCTTATCTTCAAGGCAAGGGAAAAAGTTCAAGTTTGGTGCTAATATGTCTTTACTAACTCTCTGATGCTTGCTAATCATTTTTTCTTAATAAAGAGAGAGCAGGCCTTGGGCTTAGAGGCTTGGCAGCAGTATCTATCTGGAATTTAATAAGATTGTTTTATTTTTCAGATGCTTTTGATTTATGACAGAGATACCAGCGTTCCATTTATGTTTGTGACACAGATCTTCCTTTAAAAATAAATGTACTTAAGTAAAAAGGGGAATTAAGGGGAAATGCTAAGTGATAGGAGAGGAGTTAGGAAAATAGAGCAAACATTGTGAATAACAAAAGTTTAATCAACACAGATCTAGATAGCTCTCATGCCCTGATGCACAGATAGGCAGGTCTCCACATTCATAGACAACCGAGTCCCGAAAGGTATGTGAGAGAAATACGTGCAATAGGTAGACTTATTATGAAAGCTGACAAAATTACATTTCCTGAGTCCAGTATCTATTCTTTAATTGTCTTCCTTTATATTTGAACTCCTAGTCAACTGTGGTCCAAAGAGCATTCAACTGAGGAGGGAGGCTCGCTAATTTTCCCTCACCTAGTGACGCCCATGCTTGAGCTTCATGAAATTTAAGATAATTATTATTATATAGTTATATAATCATTTCATGTACTATCTTTTTCTTCTTCTTTACTTTTATTTTTTAAAAGCAGAAAACAATAAAATGGCCATCAATTGCATGAACACTGCTCTAAAAAGATAACAGTAAGACCGAACCTGAACTGTTGGCTACCTGGCCGTGCCATATTAATAGCTTACAAGGATCAGATATAGAAATATCAATCACAGGTTGTGTAGAGGTGTCCATGTACAGAGCACAACATTGTATATTAAAAGGATGTTGAGCTTTTATAATTATTGCTATGGTTTTATACAGTGTAATAAGCCCATGATAAATAGGAGCTCATATTTTATCTTAATGAAGTGCTATTTTATATTACTTATTGATTTATGTTTTTCCCCCAAGAAAGTTTTAACCTTCTGAGACTTAGAGACTCATTTAAATGCTTTGACCCCCATACCCTCTTTGCAGGGTGCAGGAGGATGTGTATGATCTTAACCTTTACAGCAAATCTCTTCTTTTGGATGGGGTATTGCAATTTTCTTTTAGAGGATCACACTTAGTCCAGTTCAATGTAGTTTAGAAGGGGCTGACTTCATCTCTGGTTCCATGGGTGGACGCTTGATCCACTCTGGTTAAGCAAAATACTGCATCAGTGTAACTCATTTGTGAATGGGTACATGATCCAAGCTGGACCAATAAGAGCCCTACCTAGAGTTTTGCTTGAATTGTTAGGATAAAGGAAATTTCTTTCCTGAAGCACCAAGGTTATTTTCTGGAGAAATCATGACCAAGAGTGAAGCCAATGCATGGAAAAGCAGAGCCGTGAGTAAGAAAGAAAGCCTGGATAACTCTGTTTGTGCTCTAGTTCAAGCCATTTCTGAAAGTATTACTCTAGAACTTTTCAGTCACATAAACCAACAAATTCCCCCTCCACCTTTTTAGGTTTAAGCTAGTTTCAGTTGAGTTTTGCATTTTGCTCTGAAAGAGTCCTCACTAATACATCTCTTCTTCCCACAAGTACAGTGCCAGGCATGTAATGTGTACCTGGTAAATATGTGTTGATTTGAGTGCTGCCAGTTCCCCTATACTTAGAGAACAGGATGGTGTAATCTTTTTTTTAATATACTTTAAGTTCTGGGATACATGTGCAGAACATGCAGGTTTGTTACATAGGTATACACGTGCCATGGTGGTTTGCTGCACCCATCAACCCGTTATCTACATTAGGTATTTCTCCTAATGCTGTCCTTCTCCTAGCCCCCAACCCCCTGACAGGCCCCGTGTTGTGATATTCCCTTCCTTGTGTCCATGTGTCCTCATTGTTCAACTCCCACTTATGAGTGAGAATATGTGGTGTTTGGTTTCCTGTTCTTGTGTTAGTTTGCTGAGAATGATGGTTTCCAGCTTCATCCATGTCCCTGCAAAGGACACAAACTCACAGGATGGTGTAATCTAAATGGCATTGGAATATGAGTCTAAAGATTTAAATCATTGTCTCATTCAGCACATGTTTACTGAGTATTTCCTTAGTGCCGGGCACTGTTCTAGCTTCTGGGAATATTATTGTGAGCAAATAAAGTCCCATTTTAATGGAAAGAATATTCAAATAGAAGAATATATAATATGTCAGGTGGTGATATATTATATGCAGCTATGAATAAAGACTTGCTACCAAGTAGGTGTGGAGACTTTGAGTGAGTCACTTTATCATTCCAAGTTTCAGTTTTCTCATATATAAAAAGAAGAGTTGGAGTTGCAATTCTCTCTCTCTCTCTCTTTTTTTTGCCCCAGGAACACAACCACCACCCACACAAACAATATTTTCATTTCTTAACACACTTTTATAAACCTTAATCCTGAAGCACACCTGAAAATATATTTGTTGGTAGCTGATATTTCCAGGAAATTTTATTTTTTCCTGTGTTTATTGGTAAATTTCTCTTTGTACAATTTTGAGATCTATGAATCCGTTCTTGTTCAGGTTTCCCAGAAATGAGCTGGATTCCCACCAGGTTTTGGGGCTGCCTCAACTAGCTGAATTCCCTTGAGGTCTTCACCTGAGAATGCTGTCTGAGTCTACCTGTTCTGTCTGCAAGTTATTCCTGAAGTCAGTGACAGTTGGTCACTCAGTCACCTTTCATTTGGTGAAAAGCTTCTGTTATCTCTGAACCTTGGCTAAGTTGAGACATCCTTTTCCCCCCACACAGCTCCTCAGTTAATCACTTTACTTATCACTATCTCTGGTCTTGCCTGCCTCTTCCTATAAGTTTTCAGAGTCCTCAGAACTTCTCTCCCAGCGGAAATGGTCTCAGTAGCACTACTGCTGCTGCCTTTTAAAGTGATACCACAAATAAAATTTGGCTCTGAAGAGTGAATCACATCCTGTGCTTCTCAAGTGATGTTTGTAGACCTTATTTCTATATTTGTATATTATTTGAAAAAAAATATTTATTGAGCATATACTATGTGCCTGTGGATGCTGCATTGCTGTGTTTCCTCCAAATCCCTTGTTCTTCTCTCCAGTAGGAGTAGGAGAGAATTAAATTTGCTTTTGGGCAACTACCTTCTTATTCTCATCACACTTACTGTTCTCTCTATTTTGCATACTAGATGCACACTTAGCCCACCACTCCTTATTCCTATATCTCATCACAGCTAGAGGTCCAATGCCTCCTTTCCAGACAATTCCCAGGATGTCTTCCAGACCACTAAGACATCAGGCTCTTGGAAAAACATATCCTTTAGTTTTTTCTAAAAGCCTTTTGGAAGATGACTGTGAGTCCTTTGGGAGGGATTCCTCAAGAGGTGATTTTGATCTTGGGAGTATGGTATACCCTTCATAAACCCTTCCTGGGCATTCTGCTCATAGTATTAGCTTATTTCAGGCTGAAAGCCCTTGAATGGTGCACTGAAGGGATTCATCGTCCACTTATCCCCCACCTGCCATGACATTGGTAGGCCACAGTTTGGGAATCTCCAGCAGCAACAGCATAGTTTGTATAATCCTAGGCAGCCCTATTTTAGTTCCATCCTGCTGATTAAGTCACATGGCCTCCACCATGTTTGTCTCTGAAATGCATGTCAGAATCACTGCTCTGGTTCCATGACCATGCTATTTTGTGCCATTTCTCCTAAGGAGGGAGACTGCACCTGATTTTTCTTAATCTTCCCAGCACCTTCTCACTGCTTTGCATGCAGAGAGTGCCCAGTAAATGTTTTCACAATTGGATTTTGAATCAGTTACTTGGATAGCTGTTGACAATATCCCAGCTTCTTGATAAAGTAAAACCTTATGTTAGTCATTGAATTTCTACCAAAGGCATTGCAAACTGGTTATTGATTTTCTTTTATAAAAAAGAGAAATAAATCTACCATTTGATACTTACTCTGGCACTAAAATGTGAGCTAGGGCAGTCAGCTATAACTCAAAAGTCACGTGAAGCACTTATTAAATTAAAAATAAAAATAAGAGAATAAACATCAGATCGGGATTTAGTTAACTTTAAACAATAGCTAAAAATAAGAGAATAAACATCAGATCGGGATTTAGTTAACTTTAAACAACAGCTAACTGCACAATCTTGAGAAAGTCTGGAGCCCTCTCCATAATTTGGGGGAGGTTTTTTGTTTGTTTGTTTGTTTGTTTGAGATGGAGTCTCACTCTGTCATCCAAGCTGGAGTGCAGTGGCGCGATCTTGGCTCACTGCAACTTCCGCTTCTTGGGTTCAAGCAATTCTCCTTCCCCAGCCTCCCTAGTAGCTGGGATTACAGGCACCCATCACCATGCCCAGCTAATCTTTGTATTTTAGTAGAGACAGGAGTTTTACCATGTTAGCCAGGCTGGTTTTGAAGTCCTGACCTCAAGTGATTCACCCTCCTTGGCCTCCCAAAGTGCTGGGATTACAGGCATGAGCCACCACCCATGGCCAATTTTTTGGGGTTAACTCCTTATGTTTTTCCCTCTTTCTCCATTGCTCATTCACATAGGCTACCTTAGAGCTGTCCTACTCTGTGTCAATGTCAGCATGAAGCTCAGTTTCTTCACTGTTTCCACCAAAATTCATGTACACACAGCCATTTTGTGAATTTTGTAACATGAAAGAACTGGGATAGGTGAGAGAGAGAGTGCTTGGAGAGCATACATTTGTCTGTCTTGCTGGATATACCCATATTCTTTCCTTTTATTTTTTTCCTCCCTCCTTCAGTGGAGAAACCAGTTAATTCTTCCCCTTGTTTCACAACCAACTCTTCCACCTATATGTGTGCCCTCTTCAATCCAAATCATTTTTCTGAACAGTCCACTTCCTAAGAGTACTGGTATCATAAAAATGTCCCCATCTTATGATGCAGAAAATGTGTTTCCCATATTTAATATGGGCTTCAAGTGAAGTTGCTCCCATCTGAAACTCCACTTCTCTCAAGGAGAGTACACTAGAAATGGGGTGAAATTTGCAGTTGGAGTGAAACATTAAAAAACCAAAAAGTTGGAGGAACTGATCTTCAGCACCCAAGCTCCAAAAAAAAAGAACTACGCGACAGCTCCTTCCCATGACTTCTGCTTCTGCAGGGCAAGACCTGAGAAACCTCTGGAGACTTACAGCATGAAATCTAAAGAGCCACATGTCGACAGTGGGAGAATTAAGTTCCTAGCCTGGGGCAAGTGCCTTATGATGGGGATGTCCCTTTACATCCCACCTGTGCATTGAGAAAGAAGTCAGAAGCTTTCCACGAAAGGTTATATAATGAGTCTCCATCGATGGCTCTATGGAATAGACTGTATTAAAACAAATGCAGTAACTGGAAGCCCCATCTTTAACCACCAGAAAGGTCTTTTCCCTCCCAAATGGTAGTGTCCCAGTTTAGAAGGCTAACTGCCAGAAGTTTATTGTGTGCAAGTGTAGCAATTTCTAGTTTCCGCAGGATGAAAATTAGATGAAGGGTACTCGATAAATGCTTGCAAATTATGATGCTCTGGCAGCAGCAGTGCATATCCATGCTTGAGCCCAGCATGATGCTGACTCGTGCTCTCCCAGTGGAAACCCAGCTACTCTGCCAACACTCCTTGCTGTGCAGCCTTCAAGGAGGGCTTCCTCTTAGCTGCAATGCAGCCTTGCAGTGGCTTGCTAGAAGTGTATAGTGAGGCAGGCAAATAAATGGTGGAGAATCATCAACTTGGCCAAAGGAGTGTTGGGTCCATGTGTTCATTGGATTCTAGATGAAACCAAAAAATATATTAGATCATGGAACCTCCAGGGCTATGGTCTCTAGACCAGGAATCAATAAGCAATGTGACCTGTGGGCCAAATCTGGGTATGGCCTATTTTTGTACAGCCTGCAATCTAAGAATTATTTTTACATTTTTAAACAAACAAAGAATATGTGGCAAAATATGTAGGTGGTCTGCAAAGCCTAAAATATTTACTAACTGGCCCTTTAAATGAAAAGTTTGCCAACTCTGCTCTAGGTCAATAATATTCAATCTTGGCTACACACTAGGATCACCCAGGGAATCTTTAAAAACAAAACAACACAGATAAATAACTCTGCCTTTGAATAGGGAAGAACAAACTTTTCTTCTGTCTATATGCACACTCAACACAGAATACCTCTGTGATCAAACGTGTAGGGTCCACACCAATTTGCTATGGACACCAACTGGGTTTTCTATGATTCAATTCAATTCTGACACTTACCAGAGTTAGTAGCAGACCCCACAGGTTAAGAGCTTGATCCCACAAGACTGCTCCCGCTTCAAATGTTGATGGAAAGTCCAGGTTGTCATGTGTGCTTCTTACCAATGGCTGTAAACCAGAGGTTCATACCATTCCCTCCTGGGTTTGACCATTTGCTAGAATGGGTCACAGAACTCAGAGAAAGTTCATTTACAACATTATTGCTTTAATATAAAGGATGCAACTTAGAAACAGCCAGATGGAAGAGATAAGTAGGGCAAGGTATGGAAAAGGGGTGTGGAGCTTTCACACCCTCTCTGGGCATGACCTCCATGTGGTCAGCAACCTGGAAGCTCTCTGAAGGTCTTCTGTTAAGATTTTTTTCTTGTGGAGGCTTCATTACATAGACGTGATTGATGAAATCATTGCCCATTGCAAATTAAGTCAACTTCCAGCCACTTTCCCTTCCCTGGAGGTCAGGGTGGTGGGTGGTGAAAGTTCCAACCTTCTAATCACATGGTTGGCTCCCCTGGCAACCAGCCCCCCATCCTTAGAGGTTTTCCAAAAGTTACCTCTTTAGCATAAACTCACCACTTAGGACATTCCAAGGACTTTAGGAGCTCTGTGCCAGGAATAGAGACCAAGAGCAAATATATATTTATTATAAATCACAATATCACAGCTCTAAACTAACCTACTGAATTAGGCTTTCCAAAATGTCATTTGCATTTTTGTAAACCTCCTTTCCAAGTAATTCTGATGTTTATAAGTGTTGAGACTGATGTATATGCTTTACTTTTAAAAAGATCCTCATTACGGACCTCTGCACTGTGCCCCATTTAGTGGAGTGTCGGGTCTACAGTGGATTAATCACAGCTTGTTTCAGCAGAAGGGATGTTTGAGGCAGGACTGATTAAGAGAAAGGCTCCAAGAAAGCTTTTACTTTGCCCAGGGAAAATCTGAAGAGTTACAACAAAGCTGACATTTATTGAGCACTACTGTATTTGCTAAACACTTTATGTACATTTTCACATTGATTCTTTCAGCAACTCTATAAAATAAATTATCACGAGGTAAATGAGGCTTAAGAAGGTTAAGTAATCCATCCAAGATTACCTAGTTATTAAGTGGTAGATCTGGGATTTGAACCTGGGTATGCTGTACCGCCAGGCTGTCACTGAGCGGAACCTCCAACCTCCAGAACCTGGAGATCTGACAGACCATCTTGGGAGTCACGGTGTGCAATGCATGAAATTCATCAGCTGATACTCTTGCTCTTAAAAAGGGCTTCAGATCTGGGGATCTGGGGCCTCCTGTCTTGGAGAGGATCAATGTGGCAGGGGGCATCTGGATCTTAGCCCCTCACTCACCTGCAGTATTTCTCTGGTTTTGTAGACTCTCATCCTTTCCAGGCCTAAAATGCCACACACAGAACTCTACCCCTTTAGACCTTAGGACATTGTAGAAAGCATGCACCTGCCCACTGCAATGAAGGTTAGGCAAACACAAGGTATAACCCCAATGGTGCCCTCTGGAGTTGTCCAATGCAGAGGCCCTGATATTGATTAATTTTATGGAGGAAACTGAGCCTTAGTGAGATTCACGAACTTGCTCAAAGTTGCAGGGATTCTAAAGAGTGATGTCTGTCTAAGGCCCATCCTCCTTCTGTGATGTCATCACTGCCCTGACTGCTGCCAGTTCATGGACTCATCTGATTCCGAAGGGTCTCTTTTCCCTTCTCTATCCATTTCATTGGAAAGTCACTGGGGGCTTTCCCAATAAAGGAACTGTCCAGTGATTCCTGTAGCCTCCTCGTGAGGTTTGGGTATGAGCTGTCCTTTCTTCCATCTCTCAGTGGCCTGGTTCCTGTTGAAGATTTTTCCCCTTCAAGGAGGCCCAACTGCAGCCACATTGTCAATTGCTCACTGGTTACCATGGAAACAGGTCTCAAGAGGGACTGCTTTTCTCCCTCCCTGAATGAGGCATATAAGGCTTTGTGAGGGGCAGCGCTTCCCCTCTCATGGCCAGGAGAAGGACTGGCCTTGGGTGATGAGGTTTATACTATTTTACCTAGGGACTCCCCCTCTTTGTCAGCATGACATTGCCAATTTCTCATTCTGGAGAACAACTGTTCTTACTTGGAGGACACATCCTCTCTTTTTTGATGGTTAAAAGGCCTTCTCTTTTACAAAATGATTATGATAGTAGAAAGAATGGTTTAAAAGATATCATCACTTTAGTGAAGTAAAAAGTTTGTTGCCACACACAACAACATGGATACATCTCAAAATTCTTATGATGGGTGAAAGAAGCTTTGCCAAAAAGAGCACATACTCTGTGATTCCATTTACATAAAATTTGAGAAAGTGCAAATTCATCTAGAGTGACAAAAATCAGATCAATAGTTGCACAGGCTAAGGCGGAGGGAAGGATGGATTATAAAGGGGCACAAGGAAATTTTTGGGGGGGTAAAAATGTCTTGATTGTGGTGATGCTTTCACAGGTGTATGCATATTTCATGGACACAGGGAGGGTAACAACACACACTGGGGCCTGTTGGGGGTTGCGGTGAGGAAGAGCATCAGGATAAATAGCTAACGTATGTAGGGCTTAATACCTAGGTGATGAGTAGATAGATGCAGCAAACAACCATGGCACACGTCTACCTTTGTGACAAACCTGCATTTCCTGTACATGTATCCTGGGACTTAAAATTAAATTAAAAATAAACCCATCGCATGGTGCATGTTAAGTAGATGCAATTTAGTGTACTTCTGTTAGGCCTCAATAAAGCTGAAACAAAGTAACAATCTTTTGTTGGTTCTCAATTTTTATTTTTACTTTTTGCTTTTTAAAAAAATTTTGTAGAGACAGGGTCTCACTATGTTGCCCAGGCTGGTCTCAAACTCCTGGCCTCAACTGATCTTCCTGACTCAGCCTCCCAAAGTGCTGAGATTATAGGTGTGACCCACCAAGCCCAGGATACCAACATCTAGCAAGCACAGGGCCCTGATGTAAACAGTTCTGGATACAATGATGAAGGAGGCGAAGCCTGCTTCTGTTGTCTTCTCTAGACTCAACCCCGACTCCCAGGATTCTCCATTACAGCAGAAGGAGATTCCATAACTAATTAGCGTTAAGATATCTGGAGACTTAATGGAGCCTGTTTCCTAAGAGTATTTACATTTTACAAATAATTCCTGGGAGTAGTCATGTTCTATCTGGAAGCAGCAATCTTCAGTGGTGGAATTTTAAGTTGCAAGTTACCTAGTCTAAGTAGTACTTTGAGACTCTTTATATTTGCTCGTCTTTGTGAAACGTGGTGATTGATGATTCCTTCTGTATTCCTGGGGCCTTTTGTTGTGTTTTGGCCTATTTATTATACTTACCATTTCTGTTTCCATAGTTATTATTCTGCCCAGAGTTTTTTATGTAAATATGATGTACTGTAGTCATAAACATAAATAAATATATAGGTAGTTATAAATATATATGTATGTGTATCTGTATGTATGTGTATGTGTGTGTATATGTGTGTGTGTATATGTGTGTGTGTATATAAAATGGCATAGTATTTGAACATAATCTACATAAATTTTCCCCCATAATTTAAATCATCTCTGGATTAATTAGAATACCTAATACAATGCAAATGCTATGTAAATAGATGTTATACTGTATTTTTTATTAGCTTGTATTTTTTATTGATTTTTAAAAATACTTTTTATCCAGTTTGTTGAATCAGAGGATGTGGAATCCACAGATATGGAGGGCCAACTGATTGTATGCACACACATATATATGCATTTATACATTTATTTATATTTATAACTACAGTTTTGATTCATGAGGGCAAAATCTGAATGGATAAAGCACTGAGTAAAAATATCTTTGCAGGTTGTACATATTTGTTCAACATCAAAATAAACCTCATCACCTACTGTGCACTCAGAACTATTCTAGCAACTAGACATACAAACAAAAGTAAGACATAGTCTCTGACTTGGAGGCATTGATAATGTAGTATGGAATGTAACTCAGTAAGTGGGTCATTGAAATGAAGTGGGATATACCGGCATCCTTGGAGATATTGTGGGTCCTGGTTCCAAGCCACTGTAATGAAGCAAATATTGTGATAAAATAAGTCACGTAAATATTTTTGGTTTCTCTGTGAGTATAAGTTATGTTTACGCCATACTGTAGTCTATGACATGTGCAATAGTATATGTCTAAAAACATAAATACTTTAAAATACTTTATTGTTCAAAAATGCTAACTATCATCCGAGCCTTCAGTGAATCATGATCTTTCTGCTGGTGGAAAGGTCTTGCTTCAATATTGATCACTGACTATTTAGGATGGTGGTTGCTGAAGATTGGGGTAGCTGTGGCAAGTTTTAAAAATATGACAATAATAAAGTTTGCCATATCCATTGACTCTTCCTTTCACAAAAGATTTCTCTGTACCATGCAATGTTGTTTGAAAGCATTTACCTACAGTAGAATTTCTTTTAAAATTCAAGTCAATCCTCTCAAACACTGCTACTTCTTTATTAACTAATGATGTAATATTATAAATCCTTTATTGTCATTTCAACAACATTCATAGTAGCTTCTATTTTATCTCATGATAAAACTTCTCATTCTTCCAAGTTTTATCATGAGATTACAGCAATCCATTCCCATCTTTAGGTTCCACTTCTAGTTCTACTTCTCTTGCTATTGCCACCACATCTGCAGTTACTTTCTCCACTGAAGTCTTGAGACCCTCAAAGTCATCCATGAGGATTGGAATCAACTGCTTGCAAACACCTGCTAATGTTGATATTTTCACCTCCTTCCATGAATCATAACTGTTGTTAATGACATCTGGAATGTTGAATCCTTTCCAGGGAGTTTTCAATTAACTTTGCCCAGATCCATAGAGGAATCACTATCTATGTATGGCAGCTGTAGCCTTATGAAACGTATTTCTAAAATAATAAAACTTGAAAGTCAAAATTGACTTGATGTATGGGCTCAGGGCATAGGGAAGCCCGAGGAGAGGGAGAGAGATGGGGAAATGGCTGGTCAGTAGAGTAGTCAGAACACACATAAAATTTATCAATTAAGTTCATTGTTTTATATGTGTGAGGTTTGTGGCACCCCAAAACAATTATAATAGTAACATCAAAGATCACTCATCACAGATCACCACAATGGTTATAATAATAATAAAAAGGTTTGAAATGTTGTGGTAATGAACAAAATGTGATATAGAGACATGTGTGAGCATGTGCTGTTGAAAATATGGCACTGATAGACAACACAGTAAAACAATATCCACAAGGTTCAATAAGGTGAAGTGCAATGAAACGACATGTGCTTGTATGCTAAGATCTTAGTAAGCACAGGAAAATAGGACCTAGGGCAGCCATTGGGGTGCCAGCAAACAGCTCTGGAAAGAGGTAATAGCTATACTAAATTCCAAGGAGCTGCGGAGTTAGTCAGCAATGAAGTGAGAGAAGGACTCGCCTGGAAGTGGTTCTTTTGAGAGCCTGAAAGAATGCATTATTTTGGAATGTCCCCTGGGTCCTGGGAGGAGAACAATCTGAAGTGATATTTAGAAACTAGATTATGATTATGTGTTGTCATATGGCCAGTGGGCAGCCTTTGTGAGGTTTCAAGCAGGGTAGTGCAGAAATCAAAATTTAAATTTAGAAGGATCATTTTGGCTATTGTAAAGCTGTTTTATGTGCAGACAAGGTAGCAGTTGAGAATCAGGTGAGGAGACTCCTGTGGCAATCTAATGAAAGGCAATGGTGCCCTGAACACTAGGATACTGGGATAGGGATGGAGGCCAAGGATATATTTGAAAGGTACTAAGAAGGTAGAATCAACAGGACTAGATTCAGTGGATTGATTGGATATAATTGCGGGAACTGTATAGAAGGGAAAGCCAGGAATGACACTCAATGCTTGGCCTCGTGTAACTGCGTGGTTAGTTAATGGAGGATGTGCTCAGGTTTATGTAAGGTTAAAGGAGATGATGAGTTCTACAAGGACTGTTGAGTTGGAGGCAGGAGAGACTCATCTAGAAATCAAGGAGATCACATTTAGGCGTCTGGAACTCAGGAAGCAGGTTCAGCCTGTAAATACAGATTTAGCATATTGATGGAACTTGAAACCATCAGGAGAGGATAAAACAGTAAACATAATTGAATTAAATTCTCAGTGATAGGTTATTTTAGTCAAGACTTTGTCATATGTCACCGGTGATTTTTTGTTTGCACAGCAAAGAAAGAAGTCAGTAATTAGTGGCAGGTATAACTGAGAACTATTCTTTTTTGACTGTAAAGATGGGCATGGCTATTGGGGATTGAAATGTGGTGTCTGGATTAGAGCTGCAAAAGTCCCACTCCATGAGTTTTTATCTGATTGTACACATTTAGGCTTTTAGAAAATGTTTCCATGTCAATCTTCCCACTACACTTGAGACATACCTCTATGAGAGGAGTCAATAACCTTGGCTGATACCATATATTTACATTATGCCCTTGTGCCTTAAGCCCCTTGAGGCCAGGTGCCAGCACGGCTTATTTAAGTTTTGACATGCATTGAAAGATTGGTCTGCTAAACCGACTGCTTCCTCTCCACAGTTCCCATGTTGAGTTTCCTTGCAAATTACTCTTGACTCCCACATTGACTTTTGTGTATTCACGAGAGCAAATTTAAATGGAGAGGTATTTGTATTCAACTGAAAGAAGAATTCTACTTATTTTTTACATAAAGAAAAAATAATAATGGATTTTGTATAATGTGTTGAATACTGAATTTATACGTGTGTCTTTGTGGCTTATTATAATCTAAACTACTGGACAGATGTTCCTGTTGGTTTTTGTACAAACGCTGAAGAGATACCTTTTAATTTGGTCCATGGACTCTGTGATTTTCCTTAGCTTGCCAGACCACATATTCATTCTCCATAATCACCCAGAAAAGTAACCAAAGGTCTCTTTGTTTCTGTCAAATGCTAAGATACACCAATCATATCAGAACGGTGTCCGTTTGTGTTCACATCTTAATTTTCAGCCAACTGTTTTTGTGTTTACAGTCGGCATTAATTAATTTAGGGCATCATGAAAATGGTTTGTGTTTGGTGGGTGAGTTTCATAATGAGCAGAATTTCTGCATGGATTTCTTACTCATTTAACAGTTGAGAACATGCCATTATTTTATAAGCACTACTGATAAATCATTTGGCAAATACTTCTCAGCCGTTTAAAATAATTTTTATTTCCTATGATTTCAATTGTCTCCGCATTTTTCCTTGTAAATAGTTGAAGAGTAAGCACATTTTCAAAGAGCTGTAGGGAGACTGAGATGCCAGTTGCATTTTAACGATATAGGGCATTATCGTTCTTACTGTAGCCAATTCTCTTTTAAATCATTGCAGTTTCTGCTCTAGCCTCCAGCTATAGAATTCTTTTCAAGCCGGCAGTGAACTTGGCAGGTTGCCAGAAGAAATATAAAGGTGTTTTGGTCCACCAAAGTATTTTGAGTGGTTCTTAGTGATACAGTTTTCTTCAGTACATCTGCAAAACATTTTTCTGAAGTGAATTTTCATGTGAAAAGCCTCCTTAATCATCACCAGTATTGTTTGTTTCAATGCAGTTATTTAAGTGCCCCCCTGGGTGCCTACAAAATAAACAAGGGAATCTTCTAAAGAGTTTTAAAAGTGGCAGGTGCTGAGGCTGTGCCCTATTCACTTAGTTTGCAATGACATTTTTGTGCTAATCTATAGACAAACAAGAGACAGGTGACACACCAAATCAAGAACAATGCACAAAAGAAGAAGGTTTTAGCCAATGGGGTCAGCTCTAGAGAAGATGCTTTTGAGGCAAACACATACAAGAAGTAACTGCTTTTTAACCCCCTTGCTGTTTGCATTCTGGCTGTAAAAATCTGATATTGAAACTTGAGATGTTAACTAACTTTTTGATTTTTTTTAAATAAAAACAAAAGATTCAAGATTAAAATGTCTGTGTCTGAATGTTCACATATGTATATCCACTCACATAGACATATATTTATATTTAAAAATATGAATACTATTGTTAAACATTAAAACATGAAAACAACTATTTGTTTGCTATTTTGGCCATGAATTCAATTCACGTATGTTATATTTTCACAACAAACCATGGTATTTGCATGCCAAACACCAACACACATGATGGAATTTAAGAAATAAATGATTAAACACATCCGTATATTTTTGTCTTCTTTATTGATTGCCATGTATATGTAAAACATTTGTTTCTAGTGAACTTGTGTTAAAAGTTGGATTAGTCATTAATTTACAGATACTCGATGGGAAGTTATTTTGTTAAGCTTTAAGGCAGGCACATTATTAACCACCAGCCTCCGATTTCTTTTTTAAAGTAACCCTACTCATAAGTTGGTGAGCAAGTTTTATGGAAGTTTTTTTAAAGCTTTTTTTTTTTAGTAAAAGTTGTAAATAGTACTGAATGCAAAAAACAAAAATGAACAAACAAAACAAAACACTATAAAAGCATCAAAATATTCCATTATGCTAAAGGGTAGAATTTTGAGGACATTTATATACTGCTTAGGAAAAGCTGAAGATTTTGCATATTACCCTATAAAACAAAAGAATCAGACAATGGCATTTTATCCAGCCCTTTTTACTTTAAGAAGCCTTGGCAAGGTTGGTTTTGATTATCATGATCAAGAACAAGAAGTTCTCACTGTGCTGATGGTTAGATCTTTAGTATCACTACATTTCAAGCTTTGTATCTATTGTTTGAGCTCAGCTGCTTCTATGGCAATCAGCCTTGTTTAACAAAAATGTATTATTTACCAAATGAAAATAGAAGGCAACATATACCTTCTTACAGCAAACATGGCAATCCTAGTATTTAGGAACCAAAGGAAATTTAGATATCAATGTTGTGATATTGGGAGCATACAAATGTCATTAGAATTGAATTGAGAATCCATGAACCAAACAAAGCACTTCAACAGATTTGGGTTGAGATTTGTTTGTGATGTGGTAGAGTCCTCCACACCACTTAGAGATGACTACCATTGATGCAGCAGCTGTGGAAGAGAGAGTCTGTTGCCATCACTGGAAGGGTTATTATGTTCTGAGAATTATCAGGAAACTCTCAACCAACTAGGTAATAAGGCAGTTGAGGGTGAGATACTGTCCATTGGCCAGTCTGCATCAAGGCTGCAATGAAAGTCTTTAGCTTTAATATTTGTGGCCTGCTATTTTTCCTACTGAACACATTATGATCATTTTTCCTATCAAACAATGGCTCGGGATTTATCAAAACCACAAGCCTTCTGCTTGCCAGGTTTGCATCTTGGCCTTCAGAGTCAACCCTCAACCTTCATTGAAATACACTATTTCAATGCCTGCCAGAAAAGGGAGTACACAGAACAGAAATTTAAAGAAATGACAACCTTTGAGTAAATGACTATGTTTAGGGAATACATTGTCTGAGAATAGGCTGTTCAGTCTAAATACATTGCAGGCTATTTTTCCTTATAAAAATGGGAACAATTACAATGAAATACAGATTATGTAGAGGATGTGTAACTACCAAAAGGAGGTGATGCTTTTCATGAAGAGAGGCATGGATCCCTTTGGTACTTTGATGAAACTCTGTGTGCACACTCACATTCACACACACATACTGACCACATACACATATAAATAAACGCACATATATGATAGAACTTTAGAGGAAACAGAGACTCCACTGAAGTGAATCCATGGACTTCCCCGAGAACTGTGGACACACCTGGTTGAGGACTCTGTGTAAGAGCATGCAAAATATTGCCAGTCCAGAGTTTCTTTTGGAGGGTAGTGCTAAATATTGCTTTTGCGTTATGACTACCGCATTATTTTGGTGACCAGCACAGAGTGGTGGAAACCAAACACTCTTGAATTGTCTGTCAGTGTAACGAAGATAACTTGCATTTCCACAGGGCTTTATATTTTTGAAACCACATTCCCATCTATAGCCTTGTACAGCAAAGTGCAAATACTGTAGCATTATCTCCACTTTACAGGAGAATACACAAATGTGGGAGTTAAGTGCCTGCCTGCAGACCAGAGATCCCTAACCTTGTACTCCCATTGCTCCATTGCTCTGGCAAGGGCTTTATTGGAACCTGAATCAAATCCTTGTCAATCTTGACTTTTCATTCTTGGTTTTTGAGCACTTAAAGTAGGTCTATGGTTTTGGTCTAACCCATTTGTGTTCTTTCCTATGATCTTTGAGTAGATGATATCAATTTTAAATCTTTTAGGCAGGCCAGTATTTGGAGAATTTATATTACTAAAGAAAACCCAACATTTTCACCCTGAATAAGACATGTGTCATTACCTAACCTTTATAGCATCCTTTATAAGTTGTCTTCAGAATCCCTCCAAAAATGAGCATGTAGTCCCTACCTACACTGGTTAATCATTTTATTTCAGAATGCCCAATAAAAAAATGAAATCGAGAATGGTGGCAATTTTCCAGGCAACTCACATGAAATTAAATAAGAAAAAACTCTCCCAATTTCTCCTTGAAATATCCAAATAATGGAGACAAATCTGCCCCACATGCAGAGCCCTACAGTCATTTCCTTGACATTGTTGCTAAGAACTGGTGTTTCTTTGTCTCTTTCATCAACATATGACAGAAGGATGCTGTCAGAACGCTCATAAAAGATTACCACACCTGATATTTGCCCCATCTTTTTAACTTTGCAATGTGATTTTGCAGCTATTTTCTCTTGCCCTTCTCATAATGCCTTTACATGATTACAACCACTTTATATGACAATCTTAGGCCCTGAGAAGTCATTGTAGTTCAGTATGCTGCTTTCACTGAGTCTAAGCCACCAATGTGAAACATTCACCCAACTATCTAGATGGTGACTGTATACATTTATGGTGTTGTGTCATCTACGGATATTTTCCCATTTGTAATTGCATTTCATCCTCATCTATGGAATCATTAAACAGGAAGCTGGAATCCAGTGTTACAGATCGAACAACTGAGGCTGAGAGACACAGGAAAAGAACTAAATGGGAACAGAACGCTTCTTAATCCCAACCTTTCCCATTGTGTTGGAATCACTGGTCCAGTCTACTGACATGATTGTTGTGCTAGGGAAGGGCCAATGAAGTTGGTTCTTATTTTATACCTGTTTCTTCTGACCCTTCTGTGTCCTTGCAGGCAGCACCTCAATTTACTTTCAAGATTCAGGTAACCAATTTTCTTGCTGTTTGCTTAAGAGCACTCATTTTGAAGTACATGAAACTGGCTTAGACCTTTAGACAGATCCCCAGGGGATGACTTATGTGTGCAGTGGTGAAAGTCGATTTAACAAAACCATTAATTTGAGTTTCTGGGAATAAACAGTAGCTGTCACCCACCATCAGAAAATACACAGTGCTTTGTAATCCAAATTGCAAAGTGCCTGAGAAGACGACTGAATCAAGGAAAATAACTTTGGTGGTTGTTCAAGTCTGTGTATTGTTTTAACTTTCTGGCCAGGATGGTTCATTTCAGTGTGGTTTTCAGAAAACTAGATATTGGGTTGTGCCTGCCACATTTCATCAGTCATGCTGCATTACGTGCATTAGGAGGCCCTATGAATTCTTTTGGTCTCAGATTTACTGCAAGATGAGGCAGAAATCCATTTATGAATCCGAGGAAAGAGACTGTTAAAGATAGTCCCCCTTCACCAGGGGAGACAGCACTTGCTTTTCTCTCACCATTCTTTTGCAACAATCCTCCTGCCAAATCTGGTCCCTTCCCCACAGTAAAAAGACTTACAACTCAAGTAAACCTAAGCTCGAATAGTGAAAAATATTTCTCAGAGACGCATGGCTGATTTTAAAATTGTCTTTGTTTTTTTCTTAAACAGTTCACTGTAGGCAGCATTACTATGATAAGCATAAAAAACAGCTTCAACACCAATGATCTGATGAGCCCGCCAGGGAACACCTACTGATATTCTCAGATGCCTGGAGTGTATGCTTCTGTACGAGGCATGTTCATTGACTTTCTATTTTGAAATTATTTAAAAATATTTAACATAGAATGTTTCAAATGTACAGAAAAATAGCACCATATCTGACACCATCAACCAGACAAATCTAGCAATGTGAACATTTTGCCATATTTTCTTCAGATTGCTTTTTATATAAACAACACAGTCATGTGTATATATGTATATATACACACATATATGCACATATACATACATATGCATGTACATATACACATATAGATATATGATTTTATTAAATATATGTAAATGTAATTGTCCAGAGATCACACTCAATAAAGTGATTATTATCAGACATACTGTATTGGGATGTGAAGCTTTCTGTTTATAATTGGAGCCCTAAACTTCTAATATAGTATGTCTGCTAATAATACTTTAAGAAAGAAAATCTCTTGTCAAATTCTCTAAATCTTTATATGTCTAAAAACATTTATTCTGGCCCCCTCTTTGAATAAAACTTTAGAGGCTGGGCGCGGTGGCTCACGCCTGTAATCCCAGCGCTTTGGGAGGCCGAGGGCGCGGCTCACGAGGTCAGGAGATAGAGACCATCCTGGCTAACACAGTGAAACCCCGTCTCTACTAAAAATCCACACACACACAAAAATTAGACGGGCATGGTGGCGGGTGCCTGTAGTCCCAGCTACTCCGGAGGCTGAGGCAGGAGAATGGCGTGAACCCAGGAGGCGGAGCTTGCAGTGAGCCGAGATCGTGCCACTGCACTCCAGCCTAGGCCACAGCGCGAGACTCCGTCTCAAAAAAACAAAAAAATAAGAGAACTCTAACATTCTAGGATGACAGGAATTGTTTGTATTGCCTGTTGATTTTTTCCTTTTCAAAGTGAATCTATTGCTCCCTTCTGGTGTCCCTTGCTTTCTAACCATGGTCTGCCATCTTGCGTGGGTTACATTTAGATCCAAATACTCAGTGGGAGTCACAGTGTTAGCCCCTGCTGCAAGTTCTCAATTTCACCTTATTAGATGTTTTACATTTGTCTTCCATTTCTGCCAAGGAGATACAAATCTTGTTTTTGAATCTGATCAAATTAAAAAAATTTAAACTACTAATCTCATAAATGTGCATAAAATTTTTAAAAGAGCAGTACGTGTTTAAAAAGAAAAGAGGTAGGCTGGGCGCCGTGGCTCACGCCTTGTAATCCCAACACTTTGGGAGGCTGAGGCAGGCGGATCACGAGGTCAGGAGATCCAGACCATGCTGGCGGATACAGTGAAACCCCGTCTCTACTAAAAATACGAAAAATTAGCCGGGCGTGGTGGCGGGCGCCTGTAGTCCCAGCTACTTGGGAGGCTGAGGCAGGAGAATGGCATGAACCCGGGAGGCAGAGGTTGCAGTGGGCCGAGATTGCGCCACTGCACTCTAGCCTGGGCAATACAGTGAGACTCTGTCTCAAAAAAACAAAAAACAAAAACCCAAAAAAATTAGCCAGGAGTGGTGGTGGGCGCCTGTAGTCCCAGCTACTCGGCAGGCTGAGGCAGGAGAATGGCGTGAACCCAGGAGGTGGAGCTTGCAGTGAGCCGAGATCACTCCACTGCACTCCAGCCTGGGCTACAGAGCGAGACTCCGTCTCCAAAAAAAAAAAAAAAAAGAGGTAATTGAAGGACAGAAAGAGTTCATAGAAAACAAATGTTTATCCAAATCAAAAATAGACTATAAACACTAAATAGCCAAACAGTGAAATAGTAAACTGATAACTTAACAATAGACATTTTCTTAAAATACAGAGCGAAAAGGAGCAAAATTAAAATTATGGAAGAAAGAGAAGATACACAGGATAAATCTATGAGATGGGATATCAAATGGGCGTTACAGAAAGAACAAACATAGATGGGGAGAAAAGTTAAAAAAAAAAGTGATAATAGAACAAATGGATAAATCCCTCAAATGAAGAAATTCTTGAGTCTTTAGGTTAAAAGAGGACACTAAATGCCAGGCAGTGACTTGGAAAAGAAACACACAGAGACATATACTAGTGCTATTTTTGAATTATTAAGATATGTAGAGAGAAACCTACACAATTTCAGAAAAAAGGGTGTAGCATTTATTAAAGAAGGAGAATCAGTCGGGCATTGTATTATATATAATATAAAAATGTATGTATAATATACTTCTATAATATAAAATGTATAATATAATCATGTATAATATAAAAATAGTAGTAATAATAGAGTAGTAATTCCCAATTCTGGAGGAAAATGATTCTGACTTCAGCATTTTTGGATCCTCTCAAACTATTCTTCATGTGTAAGAACAAAAGAAACGGATGATAATATAATAATGATTATAAAAATGAAGTTCAAGGAACGATGTTTAATTAAAGGATAATTTTGTTTAAGGTTGCAGGCAGAAGTGTGTAGAGATGCTGTTTAATTCTTGAAGGAGAAATATAAACTTGTTTATATTTGGTAATGTTAGAGTAGGTATCATTGGTTGTATGGGACAGACATGTACTGAATCTGGCTCAAGGAAGGAAGGATTATTTTAAGGATTTGATGGGCAAACTCAGAGTCACAGCCAATGCCATAGGAACTAGAAATCAGAAGAAATGAAAATCCCACTCACAGTTTCAGGAGCTACTTGGTCCTGTTTCTCTCTCTTAGCATCTGTGTTCTGCCATAGTCCTGTTTTCTTGGCAGCCTCTCTTTGAGCTGGCTATATTTCTATGCACACAGCCCAACAGTGCCACGAGTCATGAGTCTACCAACTGGACACATGTGACTGAACGACCACAGTCTCTTTGGCTCTTAATTCAAGTTTTCAGGAAAAAGAGCCAATGATTGCCTGGCCCTGGGTTATAGATCTGATCATGGATCAATTAGCTAGGATGGGGTGGGGTGTGATCATGAGGTACAACATGGCTAAGTGCTCCTGTCTCTGCACAGGGCATAAAAATAAGAGACGTTCTCACAAAAGAAGTGAGCTGATGGCAAAGAAACATGCCTAGCAAGGTGGAAAAATGTATGACTGGCCACTTGTAGCATAAAAATAGGATAGTTTGGTAATTCTTAAAGAAGATAGCATCTTACGGGAATACCCTACTTAGGAGAAAGTTCCTACCGCTTTCAAATTAAAATACCTCTTGTGGATATTTAACCAGATAAGCTTTCTTGAGCAATGCAGAGAAATACTATTTTACCTTCTCTGTGGTACCTCTTTGACTATCTGATGACAGCAATTGATATCCACAGCTTTTCCTATCATATCTTCTCCAGGTTAAAGTTCTACCTATTGCTAACTTTAAGATTTTTGAGGGAGAAAGAGAAAATGGCACCACTGTTGCACCTGTAGACACTTCTATCATTGCACTTGTCTCACTTGTCACAATTCATCTGCCTCACCTATGAGATCCATTTTGAGCTTTTCAAGGTATTTTGGCCAATTAACTTTTGAACCTCCCGCAACTTGGCCTGATGCCAGGAACATAGTAGGTACATAAAGTAATGAATGCATTAGTCAAAATAACATTTATTTGGAATCCTAAGGCATTTTGTTTCAAAGTTCTAGACAACTCTTTCTTGTTGCTGATGATTTCATTATAAAACAGAAGTACTAACTTAGAGAATCTCCTACTGCACAGAAACACTGTGCATTGCATTAAATGTCTTCCTCAGTGCCACTTTCTGGCAGATGCCTTCTGAACTGACGTGCCTGGGAATCAATCACATGTTCTCCAAGGCATGCTGGAAGGGAAGTTAGCAAAAGTGCAGAGGGACAGGGCTAATTTTCTTGATCTTGGCTCACTGCAACCTCTGCTGCCCGGGTTCAAGCGATTCTCATGCCTCAGCTTCCCGAGTAGCTGGGACTACAGCTGTATGCCACCACAGCCAGATAATTTTTGTATTTTTAGTAGAGACAGGGTTTTACCATGTTAGCCAGGCTGGTCTCAAACTCCCAGCCTCGAAGTGATCTGCCCTCCTAGGCCTCCCAAAGTGTTGGGATTACAGGCATGAGCCACCACACCCGGCCTAGGGCTAATTTTATTAAAGTTGCTTTATCATTTGGGGGGAATGAGAAAAGGAAATGGTGTACCACTGTTGGCTTGTCCCACTGGGGCGCTGAATGACAGCCACTGATTTTAAATCATAATTAGCATTTCAAAAACAAAGACACAGTTCTACTTTCTCACAGTGACCCAGGGGTTCCAGGTAGCAAGGGACAGGGTTAGTCCATGAGATGTTCACCTCTGGAATCTGATGACCCAGGTAATAGGTTATAGCAATCCACCGTTTGTTTAGAAAGATAAAGTAGCTTAAGGTTTGACAGTTGGGCTAAAGGATCAGAGGGCACTGTTCAAACTGAAACTAAAACGCATTACAAGAAAATTTTCATCCACATAAATATGGGACAGCTAGGAAAAAACAATCCAATCCAAACTGAGTTGGCCATTTTCTGTTCTGTAGACACAGTTAAGGGGCCTAAGAAGAAATGAACACAAATGCCTTCAATGATGGGATTCAAAGAGTGCTCCTGCTCTCAAGCCTGCTTATTACAGCTTTACATTGTTCCTTATCTGACCCAGATTTTGAGTCACTACTCTGAACTTAATTTAAGGAGTGGTTCAGGGTAATGAGTTTCCAACTCTGTGCAGAAAACAAATTTGCATTTTTCCAACTGATTAGTTTCTCTACTGATTAACTAAGCAAGGTCAACTTTTGGTCACTGATGCTGCTGATAGGCACAGCTGATATTTTCCAGTTTCGGAGTAGGGAGAACTCACTTGAAGCTCTTGTTTTCACTACTGAAGGACAAATTATGGCATTCCAGAAGCAAAGAAAATGCTGGAATGCTCACGTTTACCTGGGTGTTTATTAGCTTCCATCACTCAGGTCATTTAGGGACATAGCAAAGGAGAAGCTCCCTCCTCTCTTCTCCGTTCTTAGCTTCCACTACAGTCTTTTCATGAGAACTGCCTGAAATGACCAATGGTTGTCACCTCACAGTTTCACTGTAAACATAGTATGAAGTAGAAGATATGGGCTTTGGATACACAGAAGGAACTGGATTGAAATCCCCAATTCAATTACTTTTAAAGCTATGTGACCTTGAGTTAGTCTGTGCCTTGGTTTGCTTATCTATAAAATGAGGATAATAACAGGTTCCTTATATTATTAGGATCGAAAGAGGAAATATGCGAAAATGCCTAGCTTAGTGTTTGGAACAGAGTAAGCTACTAGTAAATGTTAATCAGCCGTCATTTTTGAAGTCCTAGGTCAGATATGATGGTCGATTAAGAAAGCAAGCTTAGCATCACTTGTATACTACTCCCATGTCTCAACTCTTTTCTCTAAATGCCCAAATCATTTCTGCCCCTGGGTCCAGTAGTTGGATAACCATGACTGTGGATTCAAGCTCTACTCAAATCTTGCATCTTCCATGAAGCCTTAGCAGATCACCAGGCCCACAGATTGTTCCCTCTTCTGAATTCCTTTCACTGTTATTCTTAAGTAATGTCTCCCTAAGTATGAGACACATATTACTGGTGGTACCATGATGACTTTGGGTGAAAGAAAAGTGATTTGAGATTTTACAGATGCATTGTAGTTCTCAGCCCCTTTAGCAGGCAAACATAGCTGAAACTTTAACATTATTTTATTTTTATTAGAGTGGTGCAAAAGTAATTGCGGTTTTTGCCATTAAAAACAATGGCAAAAACCGCAATTACTTTTGCACCAGCCTAATAGTATATTTGCTTTTATATTTTCTAATTCATGGCAAATAAGGCTGTTTCCATTTATGGTAGTTATCTAAAGTTTCCTTTGATTATGAGGTTATTTAAGGAAAAAATAAATGATTTCACTTACATAAAAACACTGAGTAAATAATAATAATTCCAGCGGCATATGAAAGTAGCAAGAGAAATGGCATCAGATTATCAAGCATGCGACTGAAATTTAAGAAATATCAGTCTGTTCCACTTATGCAGAAGTACATTCAAGTGGACTGCTGTCTTTTGAGGTTTTAAATTGATTTCTACTCCGAGTTCTGTCTTCCCCTCAAATGGATTATTAACTTCTTAGAAAAGAATGTCTAGTACTTTCTCCTTTCTATTCTGCCTAACAATTCTATGCATTCATTTACACAATAACTACTCATTACTTAATTGAAGAAAAAAGTAAATCATTTCTTGACCCAGCTTTGTAAATTGGCAGACACCCACAAAGACATAATCCGAGGAAAAATAGTTATGCTGTGAACAATTAAGAATTATCAGGAAAAGGAAAACCATGACTCACCTACTACTACTTTTCTTCCTTAGGGGTGTCTCTTAGTCCTTGCTGAAAATAGAATATTAGTATGAGTCACGAAATCATAGTAGAAGGCTAGAACATATTCCTACTGGATATTAGATTAAAAATAAGTTCGTCTTTAAGGCTCTAGCAACAGGGACTGTCTATTCTGTCAGTCAGTGATGATTGGCAGCTGCAGAGAGAATTTTGATATGGTGGCCCTTGTCAGACCCTATTCATCATAGGAATTTTTCTGTACTTTGATTCTTGGGAGTAGCTTTGGTGTCAAAGAACATGAAAGAAATTCTTCCTTAAATGTGTATTGCGCATGAGCTCTGACACCTCGGAAATGGTTCTCACACCCTTTCCAGCAAGCACTTTTATTTGATTAAAATTAAGTCTCGGTCTGCTAGGGAGAATTACTGTTCATCAGTTATTCAAAGAGAGTGCCTTATCTTAAATGATCATACTGCACTGGCAATATGGAAACTACCCAGTCACCACTAATGCAGCCAGTCACATCCATCTCTGTAAGATTCACAGAGTACCCCACTCTAAAGTTAGAAGCGCCTGCCTCTTTCCCCTTCAATTTCTTTTAAAAAATGTTTCAGTTAGATCACTGAGATTAATTCTTTAATCAAACCTGGCCTGTGAAATGGCCCTCACTTTATGAACAGACAGCTGATCAACCTTTTCGTTTTCCAACATTCAGATGTACTGAAAAGAGCAGTCATTCTTATGGTGTGGCATGTGCTTTTAGATTTAGCATTATGATTTTTTTTTCTTTCTCAAGGTGGTTAACCTCCATGTCATGTGCTGAGTAGTCTAACAGAAATAAACTTTTTTCTCTTATGATCTAGCTGCTGCTTTGAAGTGATCATTTGGTGTAGCATGGCAGGAACAAAATTAGAGTAACATTTATGGATTGCAGCAACTTATGTTTAGCCTGGAAGAATAAAACCATGCTTTAAAGAGTGAAATTTAATCATATATAAGAAATATATCTAAAACTAGATATTATATGACATTGGGTTTTCTAAATCATTGATTGTTTGCTTCTTGATGCTTCTGGGGGAAAATACCACAAAAGCCTGGATGTTTTAAGTATAATAGGACAGTGTCACAATAATGAAATTAATTTCCAGAGAGTATTAATCAGAAATCTTCTATTTGCTAATGACAGAAGCCAGCTCAAACTAGCCTATATCAAGATAATTTTTGGGGGGACTTAAATGACCTGTGAAATTTAGGGCTCTGGCTTAGGATAACTGGAGACAAGCACTGGGATTTGTCTTCTTCCTTTCCTTAAATCAGCCTCATTCTTTCCCACTGTAAGAAGTCCTTTACAAGTCAGGGAATCTATTTCAGAAGAGAGAAAGTGCCCATTCCCGAGGAAGATCCTAGGAAAGAACTGACTGTTCCTGCATGTGGCATGTGCCAATTTCTAAGGCAATCACTGTGATCATGGAGACAGGGTCACATAGATAGATGCATTTCACATTAGGAACACACGTTAAAATTCTGGGTGGGGATTAGGTAGGGGATAGCAGTAACCGAAAAAAAAGGGGTGGCACAGATAAGATCTTGAAAAGTTAGGTTGCAACCCCAATTTGTATCTACTATAATGAACTGAGAAAGGAAGATGAGAATCAGAGTGGGTAGAATGGTGGTAAACTTAAACAAATGATAGGAGGAAAAACTATCTCTTGAGACTATTAAAATTGAAAGTTAGGGTACAGGCTATATTGCTATAAAAAAGATACCCTCAGTGCAGACTAATGGATAAACATTTATTTATCTCTCACCTTACAGTTTACAATTGGGCAGGAGGTACAGATTGATTAATTTACTTTGTTCCATGAGATTAAAGGACCCAGGTTACTTCTTTGTGTTGCTCTGCCATGCCTTACGTATAGCTTCACATGATTAAATCTGGCTCACACCATCACCTTCCCACTCCAGCTCACAAGAAGGGGCCCCCTTGTAAAAAATATAATCTCAAGTTACAAACTTGGCTTCCGCCAGCATCTCATTGGTCAAACACAGTGCAATGGCCACACCTACCTACAAGCAAGGCTGGGAAAAGTAATCTTCAGGTGAGTAATCTTGCACCCAGGTAAAGCTCAGGGGATTCTGCTATTACAGATTCTGGGAAACAATTAGCATTCCACCACACCCAAAATGTGGAAGATCTCTTAAAACCATGTACCTTCACTGATAGTGAAAGGAGTGTAATCAATGTTTATGATGCTGATTAAAATACATGTAGCCAGGTGACTATAGACCTAAGCAACATGTAGAATTGGGTTTACATATCCCTATAACTTAGTGAACATCCTTGGTAGAGAAAGCACCCTTTGCTTTGCCACTGAGGTTACATTTGCTTTGCTTTTTTTCCCCCTTGAGTCTGTTAAAACAAAAGGTAGGTAGATTGGGTCTACGGTGTGATGATATTTTTCCCAATTTAAGTCTGAATAACACGGGTGAAGGGTAGAGTGAGACTTCTTCAGCTTAGAAGAAATAACATGCATTGTGGCATTTGTAATGAATCCATTTGTACCATCATCATTGTTTGTCTCCGTTGTGTGATTTTTCCTAGGCATTCTCTGGCAGTTTCCCATAGAAAATGCTGCCCCTTATAACATCTCTCCTGTCTTGGGCTAAACCAGCTTTGTCTTCCCAGGTCTCCAAGCAACAGAATCTTAAAAATGAAATATTCATTTTCTGAAACCTAATTTAATTTCAGCGATGACTGGGTTGCAGAGCTTATCAGATCACAGAATCTGAAAAATTCTCTAAATTAACAATTCTCTCCTAGTGATGGAGGTTTTTTAATTTTTTTTTTTTGCATCATGTTAAAATATACACACACAGTTTTAACCTTGGTTTGTCTGACAGTGATTTACTCATTTGTGATCTAGGGGTAATGAGAAACATTGCAGGCAATCATCTTGCTGTCAATAAATGAAATACATAGTTATTTTTCTAAAGCACAGATTAGTTTTTCTCCCAAATGTAGCTTCTACCCCGAGTGAGAAATAAACTCTTCTTTAGTTTTATTTTTGGAGCAAATTCTAAAGTATGGTAGTGAGAATTCATCTTTCATAACTTCTGGGGCTGATGAGTCATTACTGACATGTAACATCCAATTAAAGCGGTGACAAATGTAATTATGTGTCATGCACCGTGGGGGTGATAAATTGTACCACATTCTAAAGGACATGTTTTGGTAAATGCTGTTTTGCTGAAAGACTGCAATTATAGCCTGCTTTGAATGAGGTGCCTTTGTTTTAAACACAGGGTAATGGAGTTCTAAATAGAGAGATCAGGTTAACAAAAGACATTTCAGAGCAGAGTTTAACCAGGCTAACTAGCAGTTAAAGTTTTGCTATCACTATCATTTCGACCTGCAGCCAGAATTTATCTTAATTTTTTCAAAATATGGCTGTTCCTACAAAGTTTGGTCCAGATGACTTAATTTCTGTCTTAATGACATGGGATATTTTGGCAAATACTAACTGCTTGACCCTGTGGGCTCTCAAAACAAAACAGAAACTCAGAAAGCATTTAATGAAGTTGGCTTATATTCAGACAAATGGGAAGAGTTTACATCCGTTAAAATTTACCTTTATCTATAATACTTAAACAAAGAGGGTGGACAAATTTGGTTAAATTTTGAATTTATCAGATTATTTTTCATTTGTCTACATAAACTTTCCTTTGCTAGCATATGTATTTGATGACTGTTACACTGTTGTATGTATGTGTCTAGTGTAAAACTTAATAATTCTTGATCTTAATAAGGAGATTAACATAAGTGGTGATAAGTATAGTCTGTTTTTCAGGTAAGAGAAGAATTAAGGACCTTAGTTTTACATGATGATTGCTTTGTCCATTAAACTAAGTTTACCGAATTAGATAAATAGCTAAGTCAGTCTCAGCAAATTTTATTAGTGTAACAACTTTATTGTTTTACTGAGAATTGCATTGGAGAAATAGAATAATACACTTATAATAATAATGATAATAATAGACTACATTAATTGAGAATCTCTAATATGCTGAAAGTAATAATTCTAGTGTTTTTTGAATTGCATGAATAAGTATTCAATAACTGGATTCAAATTTATTTTTCTATGCAGAGATACATGGTCTCTGTGTCTAAGGAGATTGCTATATAATAGAGGAGAAATAGAATGCAATATAAGAATAATCAGTGTTTTTCCTACAAAAAAAATTTGTAACATTATTTTGATACGAGATAGATTAATTACAGCATGTAATTTACATTTATCAGTCAGATATTTATTTTAACAATATGGAGAGCATTTCCATTTTGAACTAACATGGATGGGTAGACCGATCCTCCTGCTAAAAGAAACTAGCAATGCTGAATAAAACTTAAAAAGATATCTTTTTGAAGGCATTGGTAGGAAGACTTGAGGGGTCAAGATGCTGAAGAGAATGAAAGTGCAGAGAAGTTCAATAGTCTCAGTCACTTTTTCACTCAAAGCAATCTCCAATTAAAAAGTAGTTCAAGGCAAAGAGGAGAAAAACATGTAGAAAGTAGCAGAAGGAGGATGAGAATCTAAGTAGAAACTTTTGATAATTAAGATAAAATGGAGGTATTAATAAATTATAACTTATTAAAACTGACTTAGGAAGGGAGAGAAAATCTGAATGGTCTTATATCTAGTAAAAAAAAAAAAAAAAAAAGAATCCTCAATAAAAACCTTCTCACAAAGAAATCCTGGCCTCAAATGGATTTACTATCGAATTGGTCCAAACAATTAGGGAATATACACCAGTTTTATGCAAACAGACAGAAAATTTCTTGATTCACTTAATAAAGTCACTATAACCTTGAAAGCAAAATCTGACAAAGCAGTACAATGAAGGAAACTTATAGACCAATATCTCAAAAACATAGACATAACAATTTTAATCCAAAATTCTGGCAAAAAATTTTTCAAAAGATGTGTAAAAGGAATAAAAAACTAAGTTGGTTTTATCCTAAGAATCTAAGTTGTGTGTGTGTGTATATATATATATATATATATATATTTATATATTTATATATTTATATATAAAAAACACTATAGTTATATACATATATTACTATATTTTATATAACTATAATACATATATAACTATATATAATACATATATAACTATATATAACTATAATGTATATAACTATAACAATTATATATAACTATATATGTATTTTATACATATATAACTATAATGTATGTAACTGTAATACATATATAGTTATATATGTATTATATATAACTATATGTATATATACATATATAACTATATTGTATGTAACTATAATACATACATAGTTATATATGTATCACATACATACATAGTTATATATGTATCACATACATACATAGTTATATATGTATCACATACATACATAGTTATATATGTATCACATACATACATAGTTATATATGTATCACATACATACATAGTTATATATGTATCACATACATACATAGTTATATATGTATCACATACATACATAGTTATATATGTATCACATACATACATAGTTATATATGTATCACATACATACATAGTTATATATGTATCACATACATACATAGTTATATATGTATCACATACATACATAGTTATATATGTATCACATACATACATAGTTATATATGTATCACATACACATATAACTATATTGTATATAACTATATATAACTATAACATATATAACTATAACAATATAGTTGCCTATAACAATATAGTTATCCGGATAACTATAACAATATAGTTATCCGGATAACTATTACAATATAGTTATCCGGATAACTATTACAATATAGTTATCCGGATAACTATTACAATATAGTTATCCGGATAACTATTACAATATAGTTATCCGGATAACTATTACAATATAGTTATCCGGATAACTATTACAATATAGTTATCCGGATAACTATTACAATATAGTTATCCGGATAACTATTACAATATAGTTATCCGGATAACTATTACAATATAGTTATCCGGATAACTATTACAATATAGTTCTATTATTGTATATATTATTATATAATATATAACTATTATTGTTTACACATAATATAATAGGTATAAATAATAATAGTTTTAAGAGATCCTCTTGGTATTGATTTCTATTTTTGTTGCATCATGATCAGAGAGTGTGCTTGAGTATGATTTGATTTTTTTGAATTTATTGAGACTTGCTTTATGACCGAGCATGTGGTTGATCTTAGAATATATTCTGCACACAGAGGAGAAGAATGTATATTCTATGGTGGTTAGGTGGAATATTCCATAGATGTCTATTAGGTTCAATTTGTCAAGTGTTGAGTTTAAGTCCAGAATTTCTTTATTAGTTTTCCCCCTCGATGGTCTGTCTAACTCTGTCAGTGAGGTGTTGAAGTCTGTCACTGTCACTCTGTGGCTGTCTAAGTCTTTTTGTAGGTTAAGAGCTTATTTTATGAATCTGGATGCTCCAATATTGGGTGCATATATATTCAGAATAGTTAACTCTTATTGAATTGTACTGTTTATCATTAGGCAATGTCCTTCTTTAAAGTCTGTTTATCTGATCTAAGAATAGCAACTCCAACTCTTTTTTGTTTTCTGTTTGCATGGTAAGTCTTTTTCACACCTTTACTTTGAGCTTGTGTGGGTTTTGTTATATGAGACGGTTCTTTGGAAGACAGCAGATGGTTGGCTTGTCTTTTTATCCAGCTTGCCACTCTATGTATTTTAAGTGGGGCATTTAGCCCATTTACATTCAGGGTTAATATTGATATGTAATATTTTGATACTGTCATTGTGTTGTTAGCTGGTTGTTATGTAGACTTGATTGTGTAGTTGCCTTATATGTCTGTGGGCTATGTGCTTAAGTGTGTTTTTGTGGTAGCAAGTGTCGTTCTTTCAATTCCATGTCTTGTAAGGGTGGTCTAGTGGTAACGAATTCCCTCAGTGTTTGCTTGTCTGAGAAGGATTTTATTTCTCCTTTGTTTATGAAGCTTCATTTGGTGGGATATGAAATTCCTTGGTGGAATTTATTTTCTTTAAGGATACTGAAATTAGGCGTCTAATCTCTTCTGGCTTGTAAGGTTCTGATGAGAAGTCCACTGCTAGCCTAAAAGGATTTTCTTTTTATATAACTTCTTAGCTGCCTTTAAAATTTTTTCTTTTGTGTTGACCTTGGTGAATCTGATGACCATGTGTCTTGGAGATGGTTATATTGTACAGTATCTAGCCAAGGTTCTCTGTATTTCTTGAATTTTTCTGTTAACCTCTCTAGTGAGATTAGGGAAATCTTTGTGGACTATATCTTCAAATATATTTTCCGAGGTGCTTTCTTTTCTTCTAAGGAATGCAAATGAGCCATAGGTTTTTTTCTCTTTACATAATCCCATATTTCTCAGAGGTTTTGTTAATTTCTGCAGTTTTTTAAAAAATTTTATCTGATGAGTTGATTTGAAGAACTGGTCTTTGAGTGCTGAGGTTCTTTTCTCAGCTTGGTCTATTCTTCTGTTAATATTTCTGATTGTATTATCAAATTATTGTAGTGAATTTTTCAGTTCCAGAAGCTCGGTTAGGTTATTTTTTAAAATGGTGATTTTATCATTCACCTCTTGTATTGTTTTACTGGATTTCTTGGATTCCTTGGGTTGGGTTTCAACTTTCTTCTAAATCTCAATAAGCTTCCTTGTCATCCAGATTCTGAATTCTATGTCTACCAGTTCAGTGTGGTTAAGAACCATTGCCAGGGAGCCAGTGGGTTCATTTGGAGGTAAGAGGACACTCTGGCCTTTCTAATTTCCAGAGTTCTTGCACTGATTCTTTCTTATCTGGGAAGGTTGGTGTTCTTTCAATTGTGGTGTAAGATAAGTGTACTCAGTTGGCTTAGTTTCTATATGCTTTCAGAGGGCCAAGGCTCTGTACAGGGTTTTTACATGTGGCTGGATTCTTACTCTTGGGTTCACAGGTGTTAGCAGAATATTTTTGGTGGTGTAGGCTGAACTGCTATCCAGTAGTTGGCATTTAAGAGTAATGGCTGTTTGATAGGCTCTTAGCCATGTGTCTCTTTTGTATTTCCTCATATTTGCAGATGTGCTCTACACTGGTAAGGAAGAGAGAATTGACCTCCTCACCAGGTCTGCCCCTGGACCTTGGGGGAGCCCCTCCAATCACTGGCACCACACCCATGTTTCTTATGTTAGGTGTTCTTGGCTATGGGACTCATTGGGTAGAGGCTGAAGCAGTGAGATAGGCCACACCATTTCTGGACTGGCCCTGTAAAGAAAGGCACACCCTGCTCCCACAACAGCCCACAAACCTGTATGTCTCACCCCTGTCAGTGCTCTGAGAGTTGGGGCTCTTCCCCAGTCTGAGTTCTGGCACAGATCTCAGCTTAGCACTCTCTAGTGTTGACTGGCCCATGGCTTAGTGTTGGGTTCTGGCTGTACTGGGGGATCCAAAGTTCTCCCAGGTCACTGGAAAAGTACTCAGGTGGAGCAAAGCACCCAGGTTGGGAAGCAGAGACTGTACTGGGCACATGCTCCTGCCGGACAGCCAGGCAGAAGCATAGCAAGGGGCTGGTGAGCAGCCTGCAGAACACACACACCCCATTCCCATGGAGAAGCTAGTTCTCTTCTCTCCTGGCCCAGCAGTCAGCTAGGGCTAGAGCTTCTCAGAGGGAGATGGGGAGCCCTGGGGGATGGGTGCCTATGGTTCCACTCCACCGGAGCTGCTCCACAGACAAAAGCCCCTGGACTCTGCACTGGCTGAAGGCCTGTCTCTGCTTACTCTCTCAGCAGATCCCCTTTCTAGCTCAAATGTTTATGGGGGTCACAGGAACCTCTGTATCTAGGATCCCGGAGATTAGTGGTGAGAGTGGCCTGCGCCTCAGTCCCTTCACTCAACCCTTCCCCAGGAGCCTTTTGCTAGGACCTTGCCCTGGAATTTGAGTACACCATGCAGGGTTCCAAGCTTCGCCCTGTTTCAGCCTCTGAGTCCGTGTCACCTCTCCATCCACTCTCGGTGTTTTCTCTCTGATGACCTGCTCAAATTACATTGGTTTACCTGATATTTTGGTCCCTTCCATGGGAGCAGTGTTTCCTGGTTTGTCTAGTCACCCATCTTGTCCCCCATCTCTCCAGTTGAGCTTTTTAAAATTACTATAATTTGCCATGTGAATAGAATAAAAGATAATAATCTGAATATATTATATAATTATCTCAATAGATAAGATACATTTAATTAAATTCAATATTTGTTCCTTAAAAGCTAGAAAGAGAAGGGAAATTAATACCTAATAAAAGGTATGGATAAAAATGCCTATAGCAAATATGATATTTATTAGTAAAATGTAAAAGGTTTCCTCCTTGAAACTAGGAATGAAACAAAAATGTTGACTATCATTACTTGTATTTGTCACCATATCAGAGGCTCATTGCAGTAAGAGGAGAGAAATAAGTATTTGGGTTGAAGTAAAAATAAAAGTGCCAACTTAATCTTCTTTGTTCTGTTGGTATAGTAAATTACACCACACTTTAAAAGGGGTTAAAATCTGAGGGCTCTCTGCAGGCAGCACTCCCAGCATTTTACAGCTGTCTCAGTTAAGGGAGTCACCTTGCTCTAGGCCATACTCCCTTTTCAGAGCAGCCTTATTCAATAACTGATGGATGTGCACGTGCAAAATCCCAGCTCTGTCACTTGAATTTGAGGGTTGTAGCTGTACAGTTCCATATACAGTTGACTGAGGACTTTGTTGAGACTATATTACAGTCCAACTTTTCCTGTTCAGTACCACTTTATTCACATCCCTTCCATAAGTGTTGATTCCAAAAGCTTCCTGTACACTAGTCTCCATTTCAAATTCTGCTTTCTGGGGAATAAGATCTGCAACAGTTGGTATTAGAAGTAGTTGGAGAAAGCAGATGCTGAGATGGGATTTTGGAGCTGGATCACTTGCTGCTGTCCAAGTGGCAAGGAGGACTCGTTGGTGGTAAGAATACAGATAGTTCCTGGCATGAGGTGGCAATGCAATTATTAGAGTTTTTACTGCTGGTTAACTAGGATAGCATACTAGCAGAAGGGAATTCACAAGCTGGTGCAATAGCAGGCATTTGAGAAACAATGTGGTAACCATAAAAAAGGGACAGTCATCTCAGATAGCTATTACTAAGCTCCACTGATGCTGCGGAAAAACATCATGAATGACTGACAGTAATTAATTGCCAGTGAAAAGATAAAGAGGAAATGCAGAGGTCCTGCTTGATAGCAAATAAAGACACTTACATTTCATACAGCATAAGGGCAGAGATAGCTGAGGACCAGGCCCAAAATTTCATCATATGAGTGACATTGGAAATTAAACTCTAAACCTAGGCACATCTATTATGTCTTTGATTAGGAAAGAGGAGAATTAAAGCAGACTAAAACCTTACATATCAAGGTCGCCCTGAGCCTCTGAACATATAGAAATGGTGCACAACTGCCTTAATGGCCTACCACATTCCCTTATTTGAAGACTGCAGACATCTCTCCCCTGCAAGACACATGCCAACCACTCCTTCAGGATATGCCCCCATTTTCATCATGGCCAATAAGACTATAAATAACAAGGGTCAAGTCCAAAATAACCTGGGCAGGGATATAGTGGGCCTGATAAGGGAGAAAAGGGTCTAGACTTAAAGGAGATGTAAGACCTAGGTAACATGTATGAATAGAAACTAGAAAATGTTTATGGGACTGTAGTCTGAAGGTGCTTGATCTAGGGAGAGAATAGAACATTCAGTAAGACACAATTCATTGATTGGGAAACACTCTGTCAAATGCAGAGTTTAACATCCTGGCAAGGACTCTGGAAGATGGCACAAATACACTGTTAGAGTGGCTTCTACACAGATGAAAATAGTGATGGCCTACACCAAATGAAGTAGAAATGCTAGGAAAACCAGAAATGGCAGTAAAGAACCACCATGCCAGTCAGTGGGAGGAAAGAACAAAAGGATTAGAGAATTGGGTGTATTAGGTGGATATACGATGCAAGTCCAATAAAACATCATATGTCTATGGTCCTGAGGCAAGGCCTGCTGGATACACCACTTACCAAACGAGGCAGATTACCACATGCACTACAGTCCACCTCGTGTACCACTCCAATTCACCTCTTCATGGAGCTTCTGGGAACAGCCACCCCCACGCCAGAACTCCAATGGGCTTCTTTTCCCAAGGGAAATTCAGATGAAGGCTAATGGTATGATCTTCAGCTCCTGCCACTTGCAGCTGGTCTCAGAGCTATAACTAATAGTCACCATTTCCCTCTTCTCTGCCATTTTGGATTCTCCTCACTGTTACCTAGCACCTCTGCTGACCTCGGTGGCTTACCTGATGCTGTGATCCAGATCCTTATTTCTGAGCAGTACGAGCTCCTGTTCACTATGCCCTTCCCAAGCCATGGCTGCTGTACTTGTGTATTTACAGATATCATCTGTCAAGCAAGACCAACAGGTATCCAAGTGGATCATCTGGACACCAAACCTATTCCTCCCTGCTGTCACTGTGTATCCACAGCTCTACCACTTCATGAGATTTGGGTAGTTAATGATCTCTTCAAAGGTTTTGTAAAACACTAACTCAAAGGGAAAAACATATATATATATATATATATATATATATGCATGTATACAGAAAAAAATGAAACATTGAATTAACTTAAGAATTTTTGTAGATCAAAAGCCAAATTTAAGGAAGTAAAAAAGCAGAGTGGGATAATTCATTTTCAAGACATATATCTAATAAATATTTGTGATATATAAAGAAATTCCACAAATTACATGGAAAGGAAAAAGTAACCCAATAAAAAATAGGTGAAAGACAGTCTTTTCAGAAAGAGGATATCTAAATGACCAATGAACATATGAAAAGCAATATCTTATTAATAATAAAGGAAATGAAAATTAAAGTCATAGTGGATATTATTGTGATTCTACTAGAAAAGCTAAATTGCAGAAGACAGAGAACATCAAGTGTTGGTGAAGATATGGAGTGACTGAATTTTACTAACTTCTGGTTTAGAAGTAAAAGTTAGTTCAACCACTTTAGCAGCATCTACTAACGCTGGAAATACAAACACCCTATATAAGCAAATGTATACATACAAATACCAAAGCCTTGTACAAAGACCTTCATAATAGCAGTATTTTTAATAGTCAAAAACTAAAAATAACTCAAATGCCCATTAACAATAGAATAGAGAAATAAATTATAGTACACTCAATAAGAGACTACCAAATAACACCTTAATTCCATTCATATACATTTAAAAACCAGGTAAACCTCATGTGTGGTGATAAAAAGGGGAGTTAGTCACTGAAAAGAAGGACAAGGGGCATTTTTGAGGATAGTCGTGGCCAGTGATACACAGTTTCTTAATTTAAGTACATACACAGGTGTCTTCACTGAGAAAAAAATTCATTGAGCTGTAAACTTATGATTGTGTACTTTCCTATAGGTATATTATAGTTTAGTTAAAATGTTGAAAAATAAAGTGAGGCAACCAGTAGAGTCTAGAATCTAGCAACTTCTACTTAAGGGGAAAAATAAAACACTTGTACTTGTGACGAAATCTTTTAGTTTGAGTGGCTTTGTGTGTTGCCTTTGTTCCATCAACACACCAAGCTTGTTACCTCACTCACAGGCCCAGGTATTCTCTAGCCTGTCAACCTGGTTTTCCTCATGGTAGTAATTGCTGTTTGAAATTGTTTGCTTGTTCTAATGTAACGTCAGCTGAGTGACAGCATAAATCTTGTCTCTTGTTTACAGCTGTATCCCTTGCACCTAGATCAGTGCCTGACACACAATTGGAGCTCAATAAATTTTGCTGAATGAATGAGAGAGAAAAAGATATCAAGAATATGCATGATAAAAAGACAAAGGCCATTGCTTGAGCAGAAGTTAAACGTATTCCAACACTGGATTTATTCAGTGATATTTACATTTCATAGCTATGCACAGGATCTATTAATCTCAAAATTAGTGAAGACAATATAACAACTTTTGTTACTGTGAATCTGTAGATCTCTGTCTCCTCATTCCCATTTCATCCTTCAAAATAACAATTTTAAAGACAATATTCTTTATAATAATAATTATAAAGATTTATGAGGGATGCAACTACACATTAACACAAGAAAGACTAAATATAATAAAGTAGCAAAGTGGAAGGACTAGATTATAAGCACTACAAAAGTTTTGAAATGGAAGAGGTCTTCTGTAACTGAAGCAACCAGGACACTTTACTGAAGATGGAGTTTGAGCTTCTGTGAAGGATGAATAGGACGGGGGAGGGACAGAGTGTACAGGGAGAGGAAGCAACATAGGAACATGGACGCCTGTGTCCATGTTGCTCTGGCTGGGGTTCAGGGCAAAGTGATAGGATGGGGATCAGTCATGGAAGCTTGGAGGAAGAAGGAGGAGGAAGTGTATTTCAAGAGCCCAGTATAAATGTTTAAGCATCTGGGGAAGCATCTAGTTCAAGTTCATTGCTTACTACTTCTGTTCTCAGAACTACATTCATTATTATTGGTGATTATAAAGAACCTTGGCCTTATCTTTCCTAATGGGCCAACCACAGGATTCGGTTGTGTGATGACGATATTGTTAGGGGTGTGGTGCGTGTGTCTGTATGTATCTGTGTATGTGTATGTGTATGTATATGTATGTATACACACATCACAGTAGGGTTTATTCACTTTTCCAAATCACTAAAATTGTTCCTTTTACAAATAGCTGTGCAAAGCTTTCTATGCTCATTAAATAAAAATTGAGGTCCATTGTGGACTAGCAACTGGGGACAGAAAGATGAAAAAGAAACAGTTTTAGCTTTTAAGGAGCTATCTAATAGGAGAGAAATATCTACATAGACAATTACCATTCAATGGGATATGTATGGTATCAGAATTATATTTAAGTTACAATAGAAACAGACAGAGATGGTAATCAAAATTGTTTGGTGCAGGAGATACTCAGGCACGAGAAAAGATAATTTGACATGACTGACCATTTGGTTCTCCCATAACATACTGATTTGGCTGTTTTGAGTGAGTGATGTTGTCATTGCCAATCCTGAACTAATCAAAATAGAAAAATGAGGAATGAGCAGGAGACACAGATAACAGTGTACAGGTTGAATCCAGCTGGAATAAAATGACTGATGTGGCCTATACAGTTAGAAAGAGAGACAGTAAAAAAAGATTAGTTACAATGTAAAGATAGAGATATTAAATTGGGATCTTGATTAAAAGCTTCTCTTGAGAAAGTGAAAGATCTGGCAACACCTGGACCTTGTTTTTTCATGGCAATAAGTGGCTTGTGTTCTCTGGTTTGCCATAGTCCCTATACATCCCTTGCTATGAAACTACTCTTCCCTCCTTGTCACTGTGTGCATTTGAACTTGATCCTTAGTTAATGGGATGGCAGGGTCAAAGAACAGCTGAGGGTGGCTGTAGCACACGATACTGGATAATAAAAATTGGTGCTTTTGGGTTATATGAAAATGTTATGTACCTGTCTTAGTTCATTTTCTCTTTTTATAACTGAATACCCCCAAACTGGGTAATTTATAAAAAATAGAAATTTGTTTGACTCACATTTCTGGAGGTTGGGAAGTCCAAAAGCATGGCACTGTCATCTGGTGAGGGTCTTCCCATGGCACAAGGCAGAAAGTGGAAGTCAGCACATGAAAAAGAGAGAGAAAATCAGGCCAAACTCATCCTTTTATGAACTCCCATGATAACTAACCCACTCTCCTGATAATGGCATTAATCCATCTGTGAGTGTAGGGCTCTCATTGCCTAATCACCTCTTGAAGGCCCCACCTCTTAATACTGTTAAAAGGGCAATTAAGTTTCCAACACATAAACTTTGAGGGACATATTCAAACTATAGCAGCACCCATCAGGGAAGGCCATTAACTTGCAGTCATATGCCAAAGCATTCGAAAAGTCTGCCATGAAACTGTGCATTCACTGACTAATTAAGATATCACCTTAAAGAGTGGAATCATTAACAGCATTTGTGTCCTTAACATACTTCATTATTCCAGGGTGGCTGTGAGGATTAAAATATGATAACAAACATAAAAGTGTTCTGTAAAATGGATGTGGTTTACAAATACAAGAGAGGATGTAAAGAACAAAAAAAGAATGCAATAAACTTTCATGATGAGTACATTTCAGAATAAATCTGACCATGTGAAAGTAATGGAAAAGAGTGGCATCTGAGGGGGTCCTTTAAATCTTAGTAAGTCATATAAAAATTGTTGTACTGGGTAGACTGGGGTAGGGGTGGGGGTAGAGACTGTGTTTTAGTACCACTTGGCTGTGTTCTAGTACTGCCTTCAATATCAACAGATGGTTACTGTGTGTGAATATAATAGTAACCCACACTGGTGATGACCCCAAGACACATCCCAGGCATTCTTAACTTTCTGCTTGCAAACCTATTACAGGCCCACTCTTCATGAATTTAAGCCTTTCCTGAGCCTGTTAAACAGTAAAGAAAATAACACCTTAAAAAAAAACAGGAAAGCTAGTATGCATAAGCAGACTAGTGAATCAAAGCAGATTAGAAACCCAGCAGTGAATGCATCTTTTCTTGACATTTAATCCAGCAAGTGGAGATGGTCGGCAGTTAATATGCAGGGTGGTTATTTTCACTTCCTCATTAGAAACTTGGCTTCTTGAATGGCAACTCTTTTATTGTAATTAGTAAAAGAACCCATACAAACATTGAATGGGGGTCTCCTTCCAATCAGAAAAAAAAAAAAAGGAATCCCCCTTTCTCTGGAGAAAGGGGACAGAAATGAAACTGGTGGACAGAGAGAGTAAGGGCAGGAGAATAATTTCCTCCTCTGAGCACATTTCCCAAAAGTTCCACCTTTTCCGCAATTTCTTTTGTAAGCTTATATGATGACATCATGGCTGTTGAAAGCAGTGTAAAAGCATATTAGAGGAAGCAGTGTGAAAACAAAACAGTGAGAAGATAAAGCGTGGTGCCTTTTAATTTACTTATTTTCTCATCATTCAAAAGAGCAACCCCCCATTCTCTTCCCAAGTGCCCCTAGCATAATTCCCCTAATCTTAGAATCTGCCCTGGAGTGGGGAAAATTAGTATGTCTAACCAGGATGAGGATTCTCAGGAGTTTGGTAATTTCTCCCCCTTCTGTGAGCAAGTTTGCTAAAGAATACAGGCAGATGCCCTAGGATGGTAGTTCTCAGTCATGGCTGAACAGAATCACTTGGGGAAGCTTTTAAAAAATATCCGCACCTAACCTCTTCCCATCCCCTCTCCAACAGTTAAATAAATCTCTGGGGGTGGAATTCAGGCACAGAGATGTTTGAAAAGCTCCTCGGGTAATTTTAATGTGCAACGAATGTGAGAACCACAGCCTTCGAGATTTAGGTCAGTTTCTGACGCCCTGTGTGCCACAGCAGGGGCTTTCAGGTTGTCCATGTCGGCTCAACGGTCAGCAACAGTCTTCAGAAAGACACCTAGGGAGAAAACGCCTGTCATGTTGCTTTCCCTATAAGCCCCATCCCACTGCTCCATGGCCTCCTCCTTTCTCCATTCTACGGAACGTCTGCCATTTTACTGAGCCAACATCCAGTCATGCTACTTCTAGTAACAGCACCTCCGCTTTCCCCTGCATAACCAGCTCGCCTGCTGTCTCCAACTCTGAGCCCTGAAGGTCACATGCTTGTGGCACCACCCATGGGGCCTGAAATACCCTGGAACCACCCCGCCGCCCTCCCCAACATGGCCAATCAGAATATCAGCTCCTCTCGCCCAGCGTCATTGGGTCAGGAATAGCACGTGACTGGATCCCAACCAATGAGGGGCAAGTTTCTCTGGAGCCTTGAGAGCTGCACAGGTGCTTTAGTGAGCTGGAGGTGCTGCCCTTCTTCTGGTCACCATGGAGCACTAGACAGCCTTGTGCAACGAGGATCTGCTGGGAGAGAGAAGGCAGCCTGAAGACGCCCAGGGCCCTGGACCCTGGAAATGCCCAGGGCCCTGGAGGTGCCGTGTTGTGTTCAGAGTTGGAGCCACCCCCAGCAATTCCTGGTTTTGCAAGCTCTTGGCCTTCCTGCCTGAGCCAAGTGGTGTTGGCCTTTCTGTCATTTGCAGTTGCCCGTTCTGTCCTTTGGGAAGTGTCAGGAAGGCCCCTGTGCAGGCAACTGAGGCTGCACCAAAAGAAGATGCCCAGAGGTTCTCTCTGTTGGAAGACCCTGTCAGGCATAGCTGGCTCAAATGCATGCAGAGTGGACTGTGGGCCGCGGTCTCAATTTCAGCCCCCGTTCCTTCTCTGGGTGCTCTTGTGCAGTGGGCAGCGTGGACAACCGTCTCAAAGGCTGCCCCAGTGAGGTATGCTTGGCTTTAGGCAGAAGCCTCTTGCTGGGATCCCACTGGAGAGCCATAGAAGTGCCCCAAAACAGGCCACCTTGATTTCATTTCCCCACTGACTCAGTTAGCACCAATTCAAGCTCACACCCTTCTCTCATGATACAGCATCACAAAAGGCAACCCGCCAGGAGTATTTAGTTACTGAGTCTCCATTTGACATTCTGATTTGAATAAAATATATGTATTATTATACATATACTGTGTAAGCCTTTGGCAGCTATTAACAGCTAACATTTATTGAGGACTTTTTATGAACCAGACTCTCTCTCTCTCTCTCTCTCTATATATATATATATATATGTGTGTGTGTGTGTGTGTGTGTGTGTTTGTGCGTGTGTATATACATAATGTGTGTATATATAAATATATGTGGGTGTGTGTATCTCAGACTATATATAATACTTTCATTTAATTCTCATAACAACTGTAGGAGTCTTATTACTGTTATTTTTGTGACTTTTATAGACATAAAGCCAAGGCACAGAAGATTTAAGTAATTTGCTGACGGTCACACAGCCATAAGGTTGCAAACATGGAATTCCAACCCCAGAATGTGTATTCCAGAGCCTGGGTTCTTAAGCAGAATGCTTTACCCCAGTTTCTACTAGGCCACATGCTCAATCCAGAACAAATCGCCATTTATGGCAGAAAACAAGAAAAGGTTGCAGGATCCAGGATTATACGCAGATGCCTTTGGCAAGCTGGTCATTTATTCAGGTGCCTTATAGTCACCTCTCTCCCTCTCCTGAATGGAATGTTTGCTCTGCTAGATGTGGGCTAGGCTATATAAATACATGTTAATTTGTAGGGGCTTTTCTGGGGCGGTGGGGGTGGGTGAGGAGCAAAGTAACTCAAAAATCAAACTGGCGTGACCATATTCCATGTCCAGATACAGTACCTGATCAGTAAACCATAAAGGATACTTTCTTGACAAAACGAGATATTTAGCAACATTTTCCCTTTTCAATTTAATATGCAAGTAGCATTCGATTCCCGGGGCATTTTTATTTCTAACTAGAGCTCTGAAATGCAACCTAATTAGCAGCAATGCCTCCAAAGTCGAGCTTTGCTCTCCCAGGGAATGGGGGCCATTAGAAAACACTTCCTATCTGTTGTCCCCCACTTGCCATACACTGATTGCAGTTTGTTCACCTTGTCCCTCTTTGTCCCAAATAGCTCAGTGGTGCAAAAAATATAATTTAACTTCTTGCCACATCTTGCATTTTGTTCCTTTTTTCTTCTTCTTGGTAAGGTTGAAAAACAAAGCATTTCAACCTGGTTATTCTCCCTGTGATTGGAGGCCAGCCCTGAGATTTCAAAGAAACCTCCTTTGTTCAAGATTTGAGAAAACAATCACTGCACAGCAAACACTGATATGACTTTTAATGGCCATTTACCTGATTAATATCCTTTCATGCTATGAGGCAGCATGAGACACCGTGCTTTAATGAAAGCCAACAACAAAGAGTGGACCAGGTGTGTTACTAAGAAACAATCTCCTGTGATTTAATTAGTCAAAGCATTGCATGGAGCAATTATAAGCAACCTTGCAGAAGTGGCAGTGGTATGGAGGAGCCCTCTGCTATAAATTGGTTTTTAAAAGAAAGACATCATGATTTAATAACTGTGCATCTCTAGTGAAAGAAGAAACCCCTCTTTAATTGGGAGCAAGAAGAAAAAAAAATAACACGCTAATCACGATGTTTAGATCTTCCTCCACCTTCTCTAATCTCTAATTGGGTACAAAAAAAGCTTTCAACAGTTTCTAGTAGGAGTTGAAAATGATTTTCTCTGTTATGTTTCTTTTTTTCTTCAGTTCCTTGAGCTACTTACTTAGTATTATCTTTGAAACTGGTACCCCAATTGGCATTGCAATTTTGGAGAAAACCTGGAATAACCCCATCTGATCAGGCTGAATGCAGGACATCTGCAATTTTAAGAGTTACCTTTATTGCATTGTTACATATAAAAGAAATGGGAGTTGTGATGGTTTGATGGGGCCTTTTTTTTTAATCCTCATGCCTTGGTTTAATGATGTGTCAACCTGCCACAGAAAGATTGACTGGCATAATGCTTATTACTTAAGATAAAGATAGATTTCTTGTGTGATGTGGGAGCTTTACAATAGATAGGGTCTTATCAGGGAAAGTCTGCCCAACCCAGGTAGGATTTGTGACTGACTTCTACATTTCAGTTCTCTATGCTTCTACTTAAATTAAGGAGACAAGCATTCAATGTAGAGAGAAATACAGATTTGAGAACCAAAATTGAAACTTCTCTTCCATATCCAGCTCTTGTGTTGATGTCTGGGGTCAGTTTGTGTACACTGAGGACCTGAAATTCCTTGAGTACAGGAAGTTGAACATTACCTAGTCCCAGAGAGTCCTTTATCTCTGAGGTCACTGGGCAATGCTGGGATGGAAGCGCTTTGCAGCCCTTTACTCTGTACAGATCTCCTAATGTAGAAGATGTTATTTTGGATTGAGACTCTCCATCTGGCTTTGGGGTTTTGCTACTTCAGGCCAGTGATGAGTTAGAGAGAGACAAGGTATTGGCAATAGTACTTGTCAGCCTCAGGAGTTTGTGAAGCATGTCCTGCTGGAGGCTGTTTTTGTAAAGAATGTGTTATTGGAACACAGTCACACCCATTCATTTCCCTGTTTTTAGTATTGTGTTACAATGGCAGAGTTGAGTGATTTTCACAGGGACCATCTGGCCCACAAAACCTAAGATATTTACTAGTTGGACCCTTGTGAAAAAGTTTACCGATCCCTATAAGTTGTCAGAGATGATTTCTGATGAACAATTTTTGCTTTTGCAGCTTGTTAGGTGGGAATGACCGAAGAGGGGCCCTCTTTCCCTATTTCTCATTGCCCAAGTGTCTTAGGCTGAGAATGAAGATTGGATTGGGATTTGAACAATAGGGGCTTAATCTACCTCCACACATGGAGAGGCCATTTCAAGGTTGGAGGTGGGGTTCTGATGTACTTTTGAGTCCAGATGGAGGTGTTGAGCTTTTGGAAAATTATGGATTTGTGGAATGAATCAGTAGATTGCAGTCTCTGGACTACAAAGCCATGAACTCTCAAGTCTTTTGGTGGATGAAATACATACGTCTGGCATGTACAATCTTTTCTATATATAATTTTTAATTTTAAAAGAAATATATGAATTCATTTGCTAAGAATATTTGAACAGTAAAGATAAGGCTAATGACCACGGATAATATTCAAAATACCTAACAACAGTTCCACATGTGATATGGCCAATCGGGTGGACGCCAGCCATAAAGGATGAGTGCTGCCTAATGGCCTGTCCCAGTGCTGTGTGTTCTCAGCTAATGGCCCTTTGGACTATTTATCCCTGACTCCCTTCCATTTCGTTCCCTTCCCCGTTGTTCTTGGTTTGGTATATAACTCTCAAGAGAGTGTTGTATGCTTGTGTGTAGGTGCCCAATGAATTTGGAGTATTTTGGGGATGGTTTTCATATCATTGCTTTTATAGTGTAAGTGGTTATTTCTAAAGTTGTTTCTTTTTAGTAGATCTTTTAGCGCTGATACAGATAGAGCTACCTCATTCCTTTTAGATGCTGCATGATACAGTGAAGTATAGGTGTTCTTAAACACCTACAAGAGAAGTTGTTAAAATGAATGCAGATGTTGTTATTAATAAAACACTAGTTCATTTAAAGTGCCACTAAATTCAGTACGTATTTTAGCATATGGAAGTAAAAATATAGCAGCTATCTGGGGGCCTGAGAAATACTTCCTATTAAAAAGAACTACAGAAAACAACAACAACAGGGTGTATATTTACATATTTTTATGATTAGACATTAATAATACTTTAGGAAGATTCAGAAATAAAATCTGGAAACTAATAAAGTCATCGCCTTTATGGAATGAACTAGAGATGAGGATAAGTAGGAGAAAATTTGGGGGTAGATTTAGAATTTAGAATCATGGAACTATATTATTTGTTTAAAATAATTATCAAAGCAGAAGGAATGGTCTTGGTGGTTGATGTTGGGATTTCCTGGTCAGGTCTGTGACCCTGAACAATTGTTCTCCTATCAGACCAAATAATTGAGTACTTACGTTACTATCAACAACCTCAAGGGAGGACTGGGGCTTTTCTGAAATAAACTGCAGATTGAAAATCTTTTCTTGAAAAAACTGAACATAAAATATAGATCCACTACATTAAAATCATTTCATTGAAACTTAAACAAATAATTCCAAGGGAGCACAGCCCAGCAAATAGCAGCTGCTGCTCCTTCGGTCTCTCCCCTTCCCAGCCTGTGTTTGACCTGTGAGTCCCAGAGGTCATCTGCTCAGACCCACCTCCCCTAACCCTTTTGGCCTGTGAGTGGCACGGGATGGGGGAGAAGTTGCTCTGAGAGGCAATGGGCCCAGATGCCAAGGCTAGGACCTGAGGCCCCAGCCCCCACCCACTTCTAAACAGTAGGATTGAGGAAGAAGGAATTTCTGTCTCTTCCTTTATCTCTAGTGCCTATAAAGGAGCCAGGAAATCCTCCAAGCTAGGATGGGAGAAGAAGATTTTTGAATGCATTTTCTTATCAAAGGGAATCTGTCCATACTAGCAGCTAGACTTCTTCCTTTATTATCTTGTATAATGATGACACATATTTATTGAGCCCTTACTATGTGCCAGGGAGTTTACTGAATGTAGACTTTTGAATTATCATTGAGGTATATACTGGCACTATACCCACTTTGCAGGTGAGGAAGATCAAGTGGTTAAAAAATGGATCACCCTGCTACTGGTGGTCAAGTTAAGATCTGAAATCCAGAGCTAGTGTTCTAACCACACTGTAATCATGCCTTTCCTTGTATCCCAAAAGGTGACCTTCACATTTAGATGCTAGAATGATATAGTTAGGCTTTTTGCCCCCACCCAAATCTCATTTTGAATTGTAATCACCACGTCTCAAAGGTGGGAGGTGATTGGATCATAGGAACAGTTTCCCCCATGCTGTTCTCCAGATAATGGGTGAGTTCTCATGAGATCTGATGGTTTTATAAGACAGTTTTCCCTACTCTTGCTTGCTCTTCCCTCTCCTGCTGTCATGTGAAGAAGGTCCTTTCTTCCTCTCCCCCTTTTGCTATAATTGTAAGTTTCCTGAGGCCTCCCAAGCCTTGTGGAACTGTGAGTCAGTTAAAATTCTTTCGTTTATAAATCACCCAATCTCCAGTAGTGTCTCTATAGCAGTGTGAGAATGGACTAATACACAGAATGATTATTTCTATTTGCCTAATAATGGATGAGATGCCCCAGAAATCCTGCAATGGAAGCTGCCAAATGTAAATCTTAACCTCTGAAATGATTGGTTTAAAATAATAATAACCATTCCATCTCGACTAAAAAATGTATACAGGGTCTTCTCTGTGCCAGGAACTGAAAAGGATAAAGAAGTATAATAACATCTAGTATGTATTGAACACTTACTTTGTGCCAGATGCTGTTCTAAGAGCTGTACTTATTGCATTTATCCACAATAAGCCTATAGGAAGGGATCTATTATTTCTCCCATTGTACCAATGAGGAAACTGAGGCCTAGAGAGATATAGAGTCCTACAGGTAATAAGTGGTGAGCTGGGATTCAAACCCAAGTCTCTTCTTATACATTATATCTTACATTGTACTTTATGTCATGTCATATCATAACATAGTGGAGTATAAAAGCATGGCTTTTCACTGCTGGTATTAATATTGACCACTTGTTTAAGGCTGTGTCTGCTAGCTGTCACCACTGTTTTTCCCTTTTCGTGGTCTATTCTTTGGAAGTCAGTCACTAAATCCCACAATCAAAAGTAGGGGAATCAAGCTCCACCCCCTGGTTGGGGAGTATCTACATATTTAAGTTGTAAATCTTCAGTAAGAATGATTTTTCCCTTCCTCACATGTATTTTATTCAAACATTTATTTATATCTGTATGACTTATACATATTTATTTTTATACTTTGTGTTATAATCCACTACTACATTGCTTTATTGCTTAAATTGCTTTGGCATGGGCCACTGAGAACTCTTTCAAGTTGGCTCTTTTGTCTCTTTGACATGCCTTCATTCTTTTTGTTTTTTTTGTTTGTTTGTTTTTTGTTTTTTTTTAGCACTTCCTTATTTTCTGGCATTACAAGATAATCAAACTCATCTTGTATTCTTTCGTGCCCCATCCCTAGAATTAACCATTTTTCTGAGAAACCCTGTTTATTTCAAATGAAGAATGGTATTTAGAAACCAAGGTCTGGACACATGGTGTGCTCATTGTTAACTAGTATGTCATTGTCATTGCTTTTAGGCCCTCTCAGTGGACTGTGGACTATATATAATATAATGGACTAAATATATAGTGGACTATATATTATATAATATATATATATTGAGACAGAGTTTTGCTCTTGTTGCCCAGGCTGGAGTGCAATGGCACGATCTTTCACTGCAACCTCTGCCTCCTGGGTTCAAGCTAGTCTCCTGCCTCAGCCTCCCAAGTAGCTGGCATGACAGGCACCCACCACCATACCTGGCTAACTTTTTGTATTTTTAATAGAGATGGGGTTTCACCATGTTGGCCAGGATAGTCTCAAACTCCTGACCTCAGATGATCCACCCACCTCAGCCTCCCAAAGTGCTGGGATTACAGACATGAGTTACTGTGCCTGGCCATATGTTTATATGTTAACCATTATATACACACATCTATGGTTATTTCTGTATCTATCTGTATATACATTAAATTTACATAAGTTTATATTAATGTCTCTGATGATAATTCAGCACTTCCTTGCTTATTTGCCAATTTCTTTCTCTGAGCTTGAACAATCTGGGTCTCATTATCTATCATTTATTGAAATATTTGTTCAATTATAGTGTACATATAGCTACAGAATCTCATGCCCCTGAGAGAAACAAATTACCAACCAGAGGGTAAAGATTATATACAGTTCTTTTTGTCTTTAGCTTTAGAGTTTCTCATTAAAATACCAAAATACCATTTTTCTTAGTTACTTAAGTCAACACGATATTCTTGTCAGGGATGAATGAGCTGAACCAGGAAGCAGGTACATTGTGTTTGACAATAATGCTGTCCACTGATGTTTTTAGTTCTCTTCTTTTGGGCACATAGGAGGTTTGAACTTACTTGCCCGCTCCAGATTGGATAAGAACATGTTACTTGCTTTGCCCAGTGAAATGCAGGAGAAGATGACATGTTGCTTTCAGGAAGAAGAATTTGATTGCTTGGTGTGAGATTCTTCAGCCAGCCCTCTCTTCCCTTGTCTTGGCAATTATTGAAACATGAGTTGTAATAAAAGTTTGAGCTGACTCATTGCATAGAAGACAGCAGACTAGGAGAATCATCTAGAATCATAGTGAATTTTATGTGAGAATTAAACATTTATTGTTATAAGCTCCTGAGACGTTGGAGTTGTTTGTTACTGTGGGAAGAATACGATCTTGCCTGACACATAAATAAATATAACAATTAACTATAATAAAATAGAAAAAGTAAGTTCCAACATATCCTGTGACAAAAATTAGTGGTTCTTAAAGTTGTCTGTGTCCACAAATCCATCTGGAGATCCGATGAACACCATCAACTATCTGCATCCAAATGCAGAAAGGCATATATACACACAATATTTCACATTCCATTTCATCTGGGTACATGGACTCTCCGAAGCCTGTCTGGATCACATGGCCCATATCAAGCAGGCAGCTGATATTCATATTCACTGACAGCCACCATGTGGGAATGCGGGCTCAGGATTCAGGGCATTAACCTTTGCTATTAATGTTTAGGTTGATTCATGAAGGTGGAGGCCTCTGAGAGGGTTTCTTGGAGGAGGTGCTCTTCAGGCTGAACCTTAAAGGAATGGCAAGAGAGAGTGAGAATCAGATTTCAGGTGGAGGTCATTTAGGTAGGAGAGACCTTTAAGCTCAGGGAAATCTTATTCCATATCTCACCATTAATACTTCTCTATAAAGGCAATGCTGGCCCTATTAAATCTCTTTTTACTGTTTTAGGGAGGCAAGACAGAAACCTAACCCTGATTAAATATGTGGAGTGAGGCTTTGAAGACCTTGAAGGTGGTTGCAAACTCTGATGCCTTCAGTGCCCAGCAGGTTAAATCAGAGTGAAGTGAGCTAGGTGGGAAACAATAGGAAGTGGCGTTGACTGAGGTGAACTGAAGAGCATGTGGCCCAACTCAAATGAGCAGCTGCTATTCGTCTTCATTGACAGCTGCCAGGTGGTAATTTGAGTTCAGTGTTCCATAATTCCAATTTGTCAAGGAAAGGGAAGATGTAAATCCATGGGGAGTGTGAGTGTGTGTGTGTGTGTGTGTGTGTGTGTGTGTGTGTGTGTAGTACTCTGATTTTTAAAAAACAGACAAAACCAGAGAAGGAGGCAATCAGAACCACCATGTACAACTGCATAAGTTGTGTTTTGGCTGAGGATCCCAGAGTAGGCCTACCCAGAGGAAGGGATGTCCTTTTGTAATTCATACATAGGTGCACAGAGGGCTTTGGAAGCCCTGACCAGGCCATATCAGCCTGCAGGCCTCCAATTTGAAACCCTGGGGTGGAGGCAGCTTATTTTGTCTGTTCCCAGCAGGCCTTTCTATAAGCTAGTGTGAACAGCTTACAAGGCACACTCAGTTCAAGGCAATCAACCTTCTAACCCATGTGTAAATCCCTGGTTTCCCTATGGCTGGCATTCAGGACCACAGTGCATAAGAAAGGTGTTGGTAAGCATTATGAATTCTGGTCCCTGGGCACTTGTAAACAGGTGATATGTACCTGGTGCTATTTATCTGTTTTTATGAACTACAGCATTACCTGATTTTCCAGGAGGCCTTGCAAATCTGATCATGAGATTCTTGTCAATCCAAAGGATGGAATGGAAACAAAAGCAGAGTAAAATTATGTGTTATGAATGCTTTCTGCACTGCACACATAATACTAGCAATTTGGAGAGCAGCAAGTGTCTGAGCTATCATTAGGGGCACTAATACATTTCCCTAGCATGGTTTCATATACTACTTATTCATTTCATGAACTGTTCCTTGATGTAGTTTTCTGTATTTATTTCCTTCTCCTGGATTGTACAGCTTCCAGGGCAACAAAAATGAGTAGAAAAATGTTTTGGCTTTCCTTACCCAAGAAACACGTGTGCATTCTTCCTGCAGGGCTTTTGAGAGATGTAATCAAACCAAGTTTTCAGAGTAAATAGTAAACCCCGAAACACGCTCTCCTCTATGGAAAAAAGAAAAGAATTCTCTGGACTGAAGAGTATGATTGTGGTTACAGATCTTCCTCATGGTCTTGTGGGGCCTCAAAATTCCACTTGAGGCAGTGAGTATCAGCTGACTTCTAGCTGGTCATGGTAGATCAAACAAAACACATACTGAGTAGAGATGGGGGCCAATGGCTGAGAAATAATTCAGACATTTCAAGAATGCACAAGCTATAGTCTGCTGTATTCATGGAGCACACAAGAAAGAAATGTGAAGAGGTAATGTTCCATTTTAAAGAAATCTTTTCTAGTACCTTATTGGTAAGGCTTTTTCTTTTCTTTATTACTTCTTCTTTTTTTGTTTTGTTTTCTAATATTTTCTTTGGCTGCTATTAGGGTCTGCCTTTGCAGTTCCATCACTCCTTCTTCTCCTATTCCCCATGGGAGTTAGTTTGTGTTTTAATGTGCCTCAAGGGGGCCAAGCTCCAAAAAAGAAAAGGAAATGAAAGAAAAAAAAAAAGACCTATTAGAAAGCTAATGAGCTTCTTCAGTTTCTAATTTTTTTTTCCTTTCTGACCTTGCACATAATCAGAAGGAGAGATAAGGAACTTGTGCATACTGTTCATTGCTGTTAGGAAATCTGTTCTGTGGTATGCAGGTGGGGGGCATTAAAGGATTAATGCTGGTAGCTAGTGTCCAGAATTTAGTGGGCATTCAAAAATTTAGTGGTTCTTAACTATGTGTGTTAAAAGTTCTCTGAAGATCTTGATTTAGTAGGCCTTGGATAGGGTCTAGGCCTCTGTAGTTTTTCTGATTTGTTTTGTTTTTATGAGACAGGGGCTCACTCTGTCACCCAGGCTGGAGTGCAGTGGCTCTCTGCAACCTTGGCCACCCAGGTTCAAGTGATTCTCTTACCTCAGCCTCCTGTGTATCTGGGACTACAGGTTCACACCACCACACTTTGCTAATTTTTGTATTTTTAGTAGCGATGGGGTTTTGCCTTGTTGCCCAGGCTGGTCTTGAACTCCTGAGATCAAGCATTCTGCCTGCCTGATTTCCCAAAGTGTTGGAATTATAGGTATTAAATTTTTTAAATGTTCAAAGTCAATTCTAACATATAGCCTAAGAAGGAAATGTATGTTTGTTAAATGGAAAGATAATTGAATTAATGAAGGAGTAAAAGTGCAAAAAGACTAATAAGCGATTGTATTAGATTGAGATAAAAATTTTTTAATATCACAGTGTGAACCTGAATTGGAAGAATTTCCCTTCCACTGACATACTGGCAATTTTGTTTGTGCTAGGGCTCATGGAGTTCTACTAGGTTTGGTGAATGATTGGTAGGGTAGATTGTAGGTGGGTGCATGCTGTACCACCTCATTTACTCACTTAATAAATATGTCTTGTGATTCCCTTGAGCAGCTATAGAAAATACACACACACACACACACACAGAGTCAAATTTTGATGGTTAATTATGTGTGTCAACTTAACTGGGCTAAGTGATGCTCAGGTAGCTGGTAAAACATTATTTTAGGGTGTGTCTGTAAAGGTGTTTCAGGAAGAGGTTAGCATGTGAATCAGCAGACTGAATCCACCCTCATCAGAGTGGTAGGCATCACCCAACTTGTTGAGGGCCCAAATAGAACAAGAAAATAGAGGAAGGGTTAATTCTCTTTGCATTCTTAACTGGGACCTCTCTCTTCTGATTTGGGACATTGGATGGAGCTCCTGGTTCTCTGGCCTTCAGACTCTGGGACTTACACCAGTGGTCTCTTCTATCCCCTGTATTTCCCATCCCTGGTTCTCAGACCTTTGGCTACTATACTACTCATAAGAAAATCTGTATATGTATGTTAATGTCAAACAAAGTAGACTTCAAAACAGCAACTATTGCCAGACACAAGAGGGGCATTTTATAATAATAGAGCCAAGTTATTGAGAAGACACGACAATCCTAAATGTATATGCATCTAATAATAATGCATTAAACTATATGCAATACAAATTGACAGCAGCAAAGGTAGAAATAGATTGATTCACAGTCAGAGATGGGGACCTCAACACTCCTTTCTCAGTAACTGATAGAATAGTAGACCAAAAATATCAGAAAGGTTATAGATGATTTGAACAACAGTATCAACCAACATGACCTAATAGATGTTTATAAAATTCTTATAATCAACAGATACTGAATACACATTCCTGTCAAGGAAACATAAAAGATTAACTAGGATAGACCATATGCTTAGCCGTAAAACAAGCTCCTCAAAATTTCAAACATTGAAGTCATACAAAATATGTTTTCTGACTGTGATAGAATTAAACTAGGAATCAGTAATAGAAATATATCTACAGTGTTTTGCTGGGCGCGGTGGCTCACGCCTGTAATCCCAGCACTTTGGGACTTGGAGGTGGGCGGATGACCTGAGGTCAGGAGTTTGAGACCAGCCTGACCAACATGGGGAAACCCCATCTCTACTAAAAATACTAAATTAGCCAGGCATGGTGGCTCATGCCTGTAATCCCAGCTACTTGGGAGGCTGAGGCAGGAGAATCGCTTGAACCCGGGAGGTGGATGTTACAGTGAGCCGAGATCACGCCATTGCACTCGAGCCTGGGTGACAAGAGCAAAACTCCATCTCAAAAAAAAAAAAAAAAAAAAAAAGAAATATATCTACAATGTTTCAAATACTTGGAAAATAAGCAACACACTTCTAAATAAGACATGATTCAAAGAAGAATTTATAAGGAAAATTAGAAAACTATTGAACTAAATTATAATGAAAACACAAATACAACAATTTGTAGAGTGCTGCTAAAGTTGTGCAGAGAGAAAATCATATATTTATAAAGACTTAAACGTAAAACCCCAAACTATAAAAACCATGGAAGACAACATAGGCAATACCATTCGGGACATGGAAATGGGCACAGATTTCATGACCAAGACATCAAAAGCATTTGCAACAAAAGCAAAAATTGACAAATGGGATCTAAGTAAACTAAAGAGCTTCTGCACCGTGAAAGAAACTATCCACAGAGTAAATAGGCAAATTACCGAATAAGAGAAAAAATTTTGCAAATTATGCATCTGCAAAGGTCTAATATCTAGCATCTATAAGGAACTTAAAAAAATTTACAAGGAAAAAGACCAAACAACCCCATTACAAAGTGGGCAAAGGACATGAACACACTTTTCAAAAGAAGGCATACATGTGACCAACAAGCATATGGAAAAAAACTCAACATCACTGATCATTAGATAAATGCAAACCAAAACCACAATGAGATACCATCTGATACTAGTCAGAATGGCTATCATTAAAAAGCCAAAAAATAACAGATGCTAGAGATGTTGTGGAGAAAAAGGAACACTTATTCACTGTTGGTGAGAGTGTAAATTAGTTCAACTATTGTGTAAAGCAGTATGGCGATTCCTCAAACAGCTAAACAGAACTACCATTTGATCCAGCAATCCTATTACTGGGTATATACCCAAAGGAATATAAATCATTCTATCATAAAGACACATGCATGTGTATGTTCATTGCAGCATTATTCCCAATAGCAAAGAGAAGGAATCAACCTAAATGCTCATCAATGGTAGACTGGATAAAGAAATTGTGGTACATATACACCACCATGGAATAGTATGCAACCATAAAAAAAGAGATCATGTCCTTTGCAGGAACATGGATGGAGCTGGAGGCCATTGTCCTTAGCAAACTAACACAGGAACAGAAAACCAAATTCCGCATGTTGTCACTTATTAGTGGGAGCTAAATGATGAGAATCCATAGACCCATAGAGGGGGATAACACACACTGGGAGGGTGGAGGTTGGGAAGAGGGAGAGGATCAGAAAAAATAACTAATGCTACAAAGCTTAATACCTGAGTGACAAAGTAATCTGTATAACAAACCCCCATGACGTAAGTTTACCTATATAACTAACCTGCACATGTACCCCTGAACTTAAAATAAAAGTTAAAAAAGAAAATCGTAGCTCTAAATGCTTATATAAGAAAAGAAGAAAGACGTAAAATAAATTATATAATCTTCTACCTTAAGAAACTAAGAAAAATAGAGCAAAGTAAGCCCAAGGTAAGCAAAAGAAGGAAATAAATATTAGAATAGAAAACAATAGATAAAGTCCAAATGTTGATTATTTTTAATAAATATTAATAAAATTGATAAATGCCTAACAAAGCTGATTAGGAAACAAGAGAGAAAATCAAAAACTGACATTAACAAGGAAAGAAGCTATAATCGTAGATATTTCATGTCACCTAATTTTATAACATAGATGAAATGGAAAAATTTCTTACAAAATACAACTCATCAAAATTTATTTAAAAGGAAATAAATAACCTGAATATCTTTAAATATTTGTTTAAAATTGAAGTCACTATTAAGTCTTTTCCCAAAGAAAACTTCTAACTCCAACAACTTCACTGGTGAATTCCATTACATCTTTAAGGAAGAAATACTAATTTTATACACACACATTTAGAAAATAGAGGAGAAGGGATTTTCTAACTCATTTTATAAAGCCGGCATACCAAGACCTGACAAGGATATTGCATGAAAAGAAAACTACAGGTCATAACACCTCATTAAATAGGCTCAAAAATCCTTAACATAATATTAGCAATTAGAATAGCAATATGTAAAAAGCATAGTACATCATGACCTGGGTTTAATTCCAGGAATGCAATGTTGTTTTAACATTCAAAAACTAATGTAATTCACTGCATTTACAAAGTAAAAGAGAAAAATCATATAGTGATCTTAAGATGTGCAGAAAAAGCATTTGACAAAATCCAATACACATTTATGGTTAGGAAAAAAGGAAGAAAAATGATATCTGAGCAAATTAGAAATAGTAAAGCATTTCCTTATCTAATACTGTATAGGGATCTCTGAAAAAGAGATTATCATTCTTAATGGTGAAATATTGAAAACTGCATCATTTGTTAACATAATTTTTAATGGTGAAATATTGAAAACATTGATCCTAAGATCGATAACAGGCAAATATTTCAATTCTGAGCCATTTCTCTTAAATATTGTACTGGAGTTTTATGACAAAATGCTACTATACATAGTGACATGATTGTGTATAAAATAATCTAAAAAAAACTAGATCTGATATGTAAATTTAGCAAGGTTTTAGTATAAAAAGCCAATGTACAAAAATAGTTGTATAGTTATATATTAGCAACAAACAATTGAAAAATTATAGGCAGGGCACGGTGGCTCACGCCTGTAATCCCAGCACTTTGGGATGCTGAGGCGGGTGGATCATGAGGTCAGGAGTTCAATTATCAGCCTGGCCAAGGTGGTGAAACCCCGTCTCTACTAAAAATACAAAAAATTAGCCAGATGTGGTGGTGGGCACCTGTAATCCCAGCTACTCAGGAGGCTGAGGCAGAGAATTACTTGAACCCCGGGGGCAGAGGTTGCAGTGAGCCGAGATCGCACCATTGCACTCCAGCCTGGGTGGCAGAGCCGAACTCCGTCTCAAAAAAAAAAAAAAGAAAGAAAAATTATAAAATGTCACTCATAATAACATAAAAATAAACAACTATCTAGAAATAAATTTAACAAAAGATGTAAAAAAAAAAAAAAAAACCGCTCCGCTGCAATCTGTAAAACACTTTTGAGGATAAAGCAGACCTAATTAAATGGAATTTTATCATACTAATGTATTGGAAGACTCCTTATTGTAAAGATGTCAAATTTTACAGAAATCGTTCTTTAGAGTTAATGTATTTTCAGTACAAATCTCATCAGATTTTGGGTAGAAACAGAGAAGCTCCTACTAAAATTTACATAGAAATGTAAAGAACCTAAAATAGCCAAAACAATATTGAAAAAGAACAAATTGGAAGACTTACACAACGTGATTTTCAGACTTACTATAAAGCTCCAGTAATCATGATAATGTAGTACTGATGTAAGGATAGACATATAGATCAATGAAACAAAAAAAGAAAGTTTAATAAAACATCCACACTTACACAATCAATTGATTTTAAAAAAATTTTTTAGGCTTTTATTTTTTGTAAGAGATGGGGTCTCCCTATGTTGCCCAGGCTAGAGTGCAGTGGCTATTCACACGTGCAATCATAGTGCATTACAGCCTGGGCTCAAACCATCCTCCTGCCTCAGGCTCCCAAGTAGCTAAGACTGCAGGCATGCATATAGTCAATTGATTTTTGAAGGAAATACTAATACAATTCAATGGGAAAAGGAAAATGTCTTCTGCAAATGATGCCAGATAACTGTTTACCTGTATGGGGAAAAACTGTGAACTTTAACTCTTACCTTATACCACACAAAAAAATTAACTGGGAATAGATTACAATTCAAAATGTACAAGCTGAAACTATAAAGCTCTTAGATGTAAAAAACTTGGTAAATATATGACCTGGGCATAGTGAAAAATGTTTAGATGGAATGCAAAATGCAAAACCATAAAAGAAAAAGAATAAACTTGACTTCATCAAAATTTAAAATTTATGATCCTCTATAGTCACCATTATGGAAAGGAAAAGTTAAGCCACAGAATGGGGGAAACATTCGCAATACTTTATACAAAGTGCTCCATATATATCCACAAGAACTCATATGAGGAATATACAAAAACACTTCTATAAGTAAATAACAAAAGAGAAACAACCCAATATAAAATGGGTGAGTGACGTAGATAATACACAAAAGAGAATACATTAATGATGACTAAGTACATAAATAGATACTCAACATTGTAAGTTTGCTGGGAAATGAAAATTAGAACCGCAATAAGAAACTACTATATACTCACTAAAATATATAAAATTAAAAAAACGTCTAATGCTAGTGGATGCAGAGCAACTGGATTGCTTGTGTATTGTTGGTGGAAGTATAAAATTATACAACCACTTTGGGAAACAGGCATCTTACAAAGTTGATTCCTATGATTCAGCAATTCAACTTCTACCTACTTACCCAAAAGAAATGGAAGCATATTTCTACAAAATGACTTGTGTGAGATGCTCATTGCAGCTTTATTCATAATAGTTAAAAATCCAAAACAATTTGAATTCCATTGACAAGAAAATGGATACCAGCCTGAACAACACAGCAGGACCCCATCTGTAAAGAAAAAGAAATACAAATATGAGCCAGGCATGGTTGTACATGCCTGTAGTGTCAGCTAATTGGGAGGCTGAGGTGGGAGTATCACTTAAGCCTAGGAGGTAGAGGCTGCATTGAGCGAGGTTTGCACCAGTGCACTCCAGCCTGGGTTGGAGAGAGATGCTACCTTAAAAAAAAACAAAAAAAAAAAAAGAAAGAAAGAAAGAAAAGAAAAGAAAAAGAAAATAGATAAACATATTGCGGTAAATCCATGCAGTGAAATATTATGCAGCAAAAAGGAACAAATTGCTAACTCACACAACAGGAGTAAATCTCAAAAACATTACAATGAATGAATCAATCAAGATGCAAAATATTTTATACTGTACGAATACATTTATATGTAGTTAAAGGGCAGGCAGGATTCATTTTTGAGGATAGAAATGAGAACGGTGTTTGCCTCTGATAGGAAAAGGGATAAAATTGGATAGAGACACACAGGGAAGTTTCTAGGGTGATGAATTGATGCTCTATTCCTTGATGGAGGTGTTGCTTACATGATTATACACTTGTGCCAAAATTCACCAAAATGTTCACTTAGGATCTGTGCATTTTACTGCATGCAAGTACATCTAAGGAAGTAATATAGGGATATCCATTCTGTGTTAGGCTCTGTGCCAGTGTGGGGGTAGGATGATGAGCAAACACAGACATGATCCCTACCCTTATGGAGGTTAGAGACAAGAGGAGGAAAAAAAATCAATGAAAAAATCGTACACTTGGAAATTTGAAAAATATAGATGAGTCAAAGTTTTAAGCAGGAAGATGGGTATAGTAGGTAAACTCAGATTTGCAAAGAGTATCACATCTTTTCTTCTAAATCATCTTCATTCTCCCCCATCCAGGTGCAGGTAGGGAGTTCCGTCTCCATCTGCGTTGGGGCTGCTTCTCCCTTCCAGGTCACTCAAGGCCCAGGGTGCTCTAGTGGCACCTGGACAGTGCAATAGTGGCCCCCAGATTCCAGGATCTCATGGTCATGTCTCTTTTGTCCAATGCAGAAGTGTCCTTGAAGGCCAGAGCCATGCTATTTTGGCCTCATATGTACAATTCTCTAGAGGATTCTTTAGAGGTCTTGCCATCTCTTCAGGGGACTATATATGAGCAAAGAGAAAGTCTCCACTGCTGATAGTTTCTTGCTGTCTGCTCCTCCCTTACTCTCCTCCCTGGATACCTAGCATTATCTCTTCAATGACCTTAAACTGCTTGCTAAGGCAAAATGCTTTTGCTTTCTGCTCTGAAAAAGTTGGCAAGACAGGGAAGAACAGAAAGGCCATGCTGCAGCCCTGAAATGTGGGAAGGAAAGAAACACATAATAAATATACAATGCATATAATACATATACATATAATAAAGTACATATAATAACAATATTTTAATAAATTATCCTGTCCAGGATTATATATTAAAACAAAGTGGTTTGATGAGAAAGGCCAGGAAAGGGGTCCCTGAGGAACTGATGACTGAATTAGAGTTTTGGAAAAAGAGATGGAATTAGGTAGGGAAGGCAGGAGATGAGGGAGGAATATGTCAGGAAGTAGAACTGCATGTGCAAAGGCCCTGTGGTGAAGGGGAGCATGGTTCATTCAAAGGACTGCAAGGAGGCCAGTGGAGCTGCTGTGTGATGAGGAAAATAGAGGGAACCACGATAAGACCAGAGAGACAGGCAGCAGCCAGACTTGTTAAGGCCAAGATTTTCAATCTTTTCCTTGCATAAAGAAGACAATGTTAAAGGGTTCCTTCCTTTTCTCCAGCCCTTTTAAAATATGTTTGTCTGGAGTATTTATTAAAGGCATGGCTGATCCTCAATTCTGCCACTGTTGGGGCTGTTGCTGAAGTCAGGAAGCTCTGACACTACATCCCTGTTGGCCTTATTGATGCAGAAGGGCCGCCTTACTCAGAGATGGGTATGCCCATGCAAATGGGTAATGTAATCCAGCCCACTCTTACTGCTGTATATTTCAGCAACTTGTGATATGTGATCATTTTCCTGTTTGATTCAAAGTAGTTAGGTGAAATGGCTGGAGAAATAAAAGTAATTTAGATTATAAATGAGAATGCTAACCATATGATAGGTTGCTATAAAGGAAGACCAACATTAATGTGCTGTAATATGCAATTTGAACTTACAGAGGAGTGAATTATGTACTGCAATAATAAGGAAACAAAAAAGTTATATGAGTACTTAGTGTAGGAATAGCTATTTCTACAATGAGGTTTTTACAATCTGGGTGCATGTCTGTGCATAATTTCCATATGCTTCTCAGATATCATATGTTGTATCTAATGACAGAAAGGGGCTAGTGTCCAGAGGAGGAGAAATCTACTATTAAACTCATTAATTTCAGAGTTCTGGTTGTTGAACGATTGTGAAAGACAATCATTTCTTGGCTTGAATGTGGTCTTGTGCTATAATTCGAAGTGTGAACTTGTGAAAATGTTGAGTGCATCTGCTAAGATAAGCAAAATGTAGACAGAAACTTTATTTATTTAACCTTATCTTGTCAGTAATAAGGATGGGGAATCTATGAAGAAAGAGTCTTTCTTAAAATAGAAGCTGAAGTGGGAATAAAATGGGGTAATGTACTTAAAATACTGAATAGAATCTGTTTTAATTTCTGTTTTCTAGCACCTTCAAGTATTTTAGAAGCACAAATTTACATATCAGTCATAAATCAGTCACTTACTCCGAAAGTATTTTTATTAGGCAATAGTTTGAACTTGTTATCATAGTTTGATGACTGTATGTTCCTGAAAGGAACATAGCCAGATGCACTTCTTTAAATATATTCTAGAAGTTTTCTCTAACCCAGAATGAATGCCCTACTTTTCCAAGCAGTTCCACCTACTGAAGTTTTGTGGAAGCGGGAGAATTCCTACCTAGATAGAATCATTGGCTGGCAGACACTAATGACCTCAGGGAGTCAGAAGATCCGGCCACTGGGCCAGTAGGAAAGGTGTGGGGGCAGAGCCTTGAATGCTTTGTTCTAATCCTATCAATGACCTTTTCAGGAGAATAACTGGGCTGTTCAGCACCACTGGAGACCTTTGGTGTCTAGCTTCTGTTGAGCTCCAAGCCACTGCTCTGAAATTTCACTTGTCTCTGATTAACTCCATTCCTTCGTCAATAAGTTGACTGCTCCAGACTTTTCACCTTTGGCCTCTGCCCAGCCCAAGATGCTCATCAAAATTTACAGAGGACGGGGTAGGGCCAAAAGGAAGCACCTTCATAGACCCTCTCCTTAAGGTATTACATAAGTGGTGTCTTGTCTCTCCTTCTTTCCTTCGAAGATTACCTAACCTTCCCACTTACCTGGTTTCTTTATTTTCCATAGCTCGTCACTGGCCCCATTGTCCCAAGCAGCTCTGCTCAGAATTTCTTCCTGACCTGAGAGAAGTCTTACCTTGCAGAAGTTCACCTTCTCACTGTTGTTGTCTTTCTCATTCTGTACATTTGCATCTTCTGTTTTGTATTACAACAGGCAGGGAAAATACCCACCAGTCTAAGACCTGTGGCAGTTTCAGAAATCTCGAGTCATCTCCTCAACTTTTCCTACTGGGAAGATGCTTAGCTGCTCTCTATTAAGGGCATTCTCTGCCCCCTGTAAGCTGATCATGTCTGGCTAATCATCCAAACCCCAATCCCTTCTACAAAACAACAACTCCTTTCCTTCCTAGGCATGGTTAGTGCGGTCAGAATTCCTACACAAGAGCCGGGACTGCGCCCTATAGCCTTTCTGTCCAAACAACTTGACCTTACTGTTTTAGTCTAGCCCTCATGTCTGTGTGCAGCAGCTGCCGCTGCCTTAATACTTTTAGAGGCCCTCAAAATCACAAGCTATGCTCAACTCACTCTCTACAGTTCTCATAACTTCCAAAATCTATTTTCTTCCTCACATATACCTTCTGCATATACCTTCTGCCCCCCTCCACTACCTGTCAGCTAGCCGAACTCATTGCCTTAACTCGAGCCCTCACTCTTGCAAAAGGACTACGTGTCAATATTTACACTGACTCTAAATATGCCTTCCATATCCTGCACCACCATGCTGTTATATGGGCTGAAAGAGATTTCCTTACTATGCAAAAGTCCTCCATCATTAATACCTCTTTAATAAAAACACTTCTCAAAGCCACTTTACTTCCAAAGGAAGCTGGAGTCATTCACTGCAAAGGCCATCAAAAGGCATCAGATCCCATCGCTTAGGACAGTGCTTATGCTGATAAGTTAGCCAGAAAAGCAGCTAGCATTCCAACTTCTATCCCTCATGGCAGTTTTTCTCCTTCTTATCTGGCTACTCCCACCTACTCCCCCACTGAAATTCCCACCTATCAATCTCTTCCCACACAAGGCAAATGGTTCTTGGACCAAGGAAAATATCTCCTTCCAGCCTCACAGGCCCATTCTATCCTGTCATCATTTCATAACCTCTTCCATGTAAGTTACAAGCTGCTAGCCCGCCTCTTAGAACCTCTCATTTCCTTTCCATCGTGGAAATCTATTCTTAAGGAAATCACTTCTCAGTGTTCCATCTGCTATTCTACTACTCCTCAGGGATTGTTCAGGCCCCCTGCCTTCCTTACACATCAAGCTCAGGGATTTGCCCCCACCCAGGACTGGCAAATTGACTTTACTCACAGGCCTCGAGTCAGGAAACTAAAATACCTCTTGGTCTGGGTAGACACTTTCACTGGATGGGTAGAGGCCTTTTCCACAGAGTCTGAGAAGGCCACCATGGTCATTTCTTCCCTTCTGTCAGACATAATTCCTCGGTTTGGCCTTCCCACCTCTATACAGTCTGATAACAGACCAGCCTTTATTAGTCAAATCACCCAAGCAGTTTCTCAGGCTCTTGGTACTCAGTGAACTAATGGTCTTTTAAAAACACACCTCACCAAGCTCAGCCTCCAACTTAAAAAGAGCTTTTATTTTCATTTTAATTTTTATTTAGTGTTGTCAAAGGATTTTCCATTTCTTTAAAAATACATTAACTTTTAACATGATCACATCTTTTGCAGGGACATGGATAGAACTGGAGGCCATTATCCTTAGCAAACTAATACAGGAACAGAAAACTAAATACTGCATGTTCTCACTTATAAGGGGAAGCTAAGTGATGAGAATACATGGACATGGGAACAACACACACCGGGGTCTTTTGGAGGGTGGAGGGTGGGAGGAGGGAGAAAATCAGGAAAAACAACTAATGGGTACTAGGTTTAGTACCTGGGAGATGACATAATCTGTAGAGTAAACCCCCAGGACACAAGCTTACCTATGTAACAAGCCTGCACTTGTACCCCTGAACTTAAAATAAAAGTTACAAAAATTAACATTTAAAAACTATGTCACATATGAGCATGATGGGGAAAATAAGATATTTATTAGCAAAAGGTAGAAAATAAAACTTCGCTTTATCCTTCTAGAAATTTTGGGCACATAAACGCAATATCAGCAGTATAGTGTCACAGTTAAGAGCATGAGCTCTGGACCAGACTGTGTGGATTTGAAAGGCCTGTCCTGACACTTACTGGCTGTATGACTTCAGAAACATTAGTAACCTCTCTGTGTCCCAATGGTTTCAGCTTTAAAATGAGGTTAAAAATAGTAACATCACAGGGGTTGTAAGGATGAGTGATAGAACTATACCTGGATGAAGGGAGTCTTTGATAAATGTACTGTTACACAATCTATAAAGAAAAGAGATCATGCTACATATCCAAGTTTACAACTTGCGTTTCCACTGAAAATATATTTTGAAAACTTCATGCCATTTATTTTATGTCAATACATGCTTAACTTGCTCACCATATTATACTTTTAAGTATATTGTTTTAAATTACTGTATAATGTTCCATTGTGTAGCTGAATTTGAACTTATTTGATGTTCCATTGAATGGATTATTTCCAATCTTGTGGTATAAACAATGCAGCAGTCAACATTGTAGTCCATGCTGTATCTTTCTGCCTATCTATGATTTCTAGAAACAGGGTTTATAGGCACATTTGCCTATCTGTTGCTAAATTGCTAAATTGACTTCCAGATTATATTCCCATCAGTAGAGTAAGCTGTTTTGTTTGCTTGTTTACGTTAATTACTTCAAGGACCGACAGGAACTTTACCTTCATCATATCCTATATGTCTGATGTGGCTAACTCTTCTGTATGCATGGTTTCCTAGTAGATACCATGATAAATACTGATTTTTAGATTGTCATAGCAATGCTTAGTCATGAGGTCTCCAGAAAGAGGTCTCTAAATTAGCTACAGACCTCAGGAAGTTCTTGAGAATACAGCTAGATCCTATAGGATTTGTTAAAGGATACCCAAGCCAACAGACAAAATGGATGCCCCATGGCTAACTGAATTGTTCAAAGTTAAAACAGAACTAGGTGGTCATGGCTGGGTGAGGGAGCAATCTTATACACTGTATTCTCAGAAAGATGTTGTAAAAGTATTACAGGATGTCTCTTTCTATAATCAAATCAAACCAGTTCCTGTTGACAGTGCCAAGATAAACCACAGTCAGAGCCCCCTGCACCACCACCTGCAGTTTGGAAGAAACATTTAACAGAGACTTCTGGTTTGAGGTTTGGAAGCCAACCAATCAGAGCTCACCTCAGGTGGTGAATTGGGGGCTCAGCTGTATCAAACAATCAGGGATCCACTGTATTGACCATCAGAACTCAACTGCACCAACCAATCAGAAATAAGCCTGTGTGTTAGGCTGGTCTTGCATTGCTACAAAGAAATACCTGAGACTTGGTAATTTACAAAGAAAAGAGGTTCAATTGACTCATGATTCTGCAGGCTTTATACGAAGCATGATGCTGGCATCTGCTCAGCTTCTGAGGAGGGCTCGGAAAGCTTGCAATCATGGTGGAAGGGGAAGGAGGAGAAGGGATCTCACATGGCCAGAGCAGGAGCAAGCTTTGGGAAGTGCTGCACACTTTCAAATAACCAGATTTTGCAAGAAGTCACTATCCTGAGGACAGCATCAAGCCATGAGGTATCCAGCCTCGTGACTGAAACCCCTCCCTACACCAGGCCCTGCCTCCAGTGCTGGTTATTACAATTCAACATAAGATTTAGAGGGGACAACATCCAAACTATATCAAATCGTTTTAGCCCTTCATTTGTATAAACAGATCTGATTGGGAGCCTAGGCAGAAACTTTTGGTACAAAACTCAAACCCTCTTTGTTTTCTGGAAAGCATGGCATCTTTATATTATGCCCAAGGCTGTGTCTCCCTGGTTTGCAAACTGTTCACTGGAATAAAGTCTCTTTCCACCGAATTCCTTTTCAGATAACTTTTGTTCATAGATACTCTGAATAAAGAGGTTCTAAAATGTGGCTGCACATTAGAATCTCCAGGGAAACTTTTAAAAATAATACCAATGGTTGAGTCTTTACTCACTGGGTTTGGGGTAGGACATAGGCATTAAAATGATTTTAAAGGCTCTCCAAATGACTCTAATATGCAGTCTGCGTTGAAGACATTAATGGATTGAATTCCTTTAATTACAGGTGAGATTACCTGAATTCATTATATCTGTATCTTTACATCTGCTAAAGGTGTCATCTCAGTACTACCATTCAGTCATTCCCCTGTTTATGAATATAAAAAGAACTTTCAAAAAATTGGCAGTATCTAGAAGCACAGGTAAATTATATTCTTGGTATTAACTTTTCTGTCTCAGTTATGCTGTAGACAGTATCCTAACATTAGTTTTACTGCTAAGCCATCCATCATTTCTCTTTAATCAGATCTCTCCCTCAAGACACTAAATATCTCTTTTCAGGTGATTTCACCAACTGTTGTGTTTCCTAAGTTGAGTGTGATGTAAATATCATTGGTTCTATTTTGTTGCTTTCATAAGACAACTTCAGCACTGTTCATGTTTGTTGGAAATGTGGCCTCTTAATGGGGCTCACTGAACCAGAGACGTGACTCTTGGAATTTCACAAGCGTGGGAAACCTCTTAAGTAACAACTCTCAATGTGAAACGAGGGAAGGCACTTCATAAAAAGGCTTTCCAATGGCATGTTCCCAGGTCTTCGTAAGTTAATTTGAAAGAGAATACAAAGAACTGATCTCCCTACAAAATGATATTCAGTCATACTCTGTAATTAAAGAAACAAGTCAAATTGACAATGACATCTAGTTTTACCAGCCAGATTAATAAAGGTACTCTCACACCTTTCGGTGAAAATGTAAGTTGTTAAAGCCATTTTCAAGAGTAATCTGGCAATATTGACTAAAATTAAAAATGAACGTTTCCATTGACCTAGATACTCCATATTTAAGAATTTACATTATGGATATTCTTATAAACATATACCAAGGCACATGCAAGACATTGTTCATTTGAGCATTGAGTGTAACAATGAAACATTGGTAACAACCTACACATTCATCAAGGGGGACCAGCTAGATAAATAAGGTACTTTCAACCAGTTGTTGAAAACAACGTGTTAGAGTGGTGTGTGCAAACATAAAATAATCCTAGGATGTGTTATTGAACAAAATAACCAAGCTATAAAATGGTCTTCATGATTTCATTTGTGTAAATTTAAAAATGAAAATATAAGTATGGTTTTACATTTTTATGATCATTATATCTGGAAGGGCATATGAGAAAATTTTAATGATATTTATCTTTGAAATGCAAAGAGTTGGGCAAGAAGGGAGACTTGTACTTTAAAATTTTATAATATTGTGTGCCTTTTGGATCTTAAAACCACATTTATGTATTATTTCTCCTAAGAAATTAAGGCAATTTTGGGATCTGGTGACTCACTTCATAGAAAAAAGGAGTAAAGCAGTCACAGAAAATTCTTTACATAAAATTTTTGAGGGATTGATGAAGAAGAATGCCATATTTGATGTTAAGCGGTCTCTAGCAGTGTTCCCCTTGAATTAATTGTTCTTCAAAGCACGTTTCAAAAATGATCCTCTTGTGTTTATGTAAATATTGATTATATTGCTCTCCATATCTTTATTTTTTAATGTCTAAGACATTTCACTAAAAAAAGTTACCTTCCAAAAAAAAGTTACCATCCTATTGTGTTCAGTCATTCAGTAATTTGAGAAATGGAAGTTAGGATGGGTGGACAGAGTCTTCTCTCTGATCCTTTATTCTCCTGCCTTGATATATTGTAAGTTTCAGGGAACTATCAAATAGAGTGGTTTAGCATTAGTGATTCTCATAGTTTTAATTGCAATATGTGTCATAAAAATCCAATACCTAGAAAAAAAATTTATTTGCAAGTCCTGTTGACTCTTGAAATGTAATATGTCAAAGAAATACCCCAACCAGGCTGTTCATTTCTAATGCCAACCTTGTTCCCTTCCCCTTCTCCCTTCTTCGTCCTCTTCCTTCCTACATCTTGACCTCCACATAAGTGTTTCTCAGACCCATGTCTCATGTCCACTCTTGCTACCACTACCATGGCGTTGCTGTAGTAACCTATGCCTGGATTACAGAACTGGAATTTTTGCTCTTTCATATTAATCCTACTAGAATCATTTTCCTAAAATGCTATTTTATCCGGGTGCCTCTTTTCCTGTATCAATAGAGGCTGCCTATGTGGTTAGATCCACCATCCTAAGCCTGTATTCAAACTCATCAAAGGTCCAAGAAATGTTTTTTGATGGAATTGTTTGATTGAATTGAATCCAGCACTCCCATCTGCTGCATACACACACACACACACACACACACACACACACACACACGCACACGGTACACAAAGACATTTCCAAAATCTGTTTACAGAAAGAGACTCAATTACCTCAAAGACACTACTTGAATCAGAGGAAACTGAAATACCAATAGATGACATGAGTCTCTCCACTTCCCTTCCTTTTTTGACTAGGGATGAGGTGCTATCAAGAAGATGAGGTCAGCTACAGAAATTAAAGTAGTTGTGATGTATTCACCTATCTGCAGGCTTCTGTGTAACTCTGCTGTCTTGCCACGCAGGCATGCTCTCTATAGGCTCCTTGAGGGGAGTGGTAGTGCCTTGTTTCTTTGGAATCCTCCAGTGCCATATAAACCTCTGAGAACAGTTACCCAGAAGTCATGTCAGAACCCAGGCTCGAAGGTGTGTGTCCTGTTACATGGTCATTCAGCTAATTCCAAGGAGGATGTAAACTTGCACGATCTCTGGCCAGGCAGACTTTTTGGTAGCTCATGAGGCTGTGGTCCTTCCTCTATAGAAAGTACTCATATGTGGGGCTGCCTTTATAGAGCAAGCCAGTGTCTCGATGCTTCCTGGGTGTGACTCCCATCTTTGGAGTCAATCTTAACTGTCATCAGTATTAGGAAGGCATCAGTTTTCAATCATAGCACACATTGGGTTGGGGTCTGAACAGCAGCCTTGGAGTCCAAAAGCTACTTTCAGTATTACAAAAGATCAATAGAAGTTGTGTAATGGCTGCAATAGCATCATATTGGCCATTCTGGAGTATGCAATTTATTAGAAAACATTTTTCCTAATGTGGAGTTGCTGATGGGAAATTAACAAAAAGGGCCTGTGTTAGAGCCTAGTTGGTCTCTACATTCTTTCCAGGCTCCCTTGACATTCTTTAATTCAGTCTAGCTGGTGCATGAACTTGACAGTCGAGGCAAGATACCCTCATTCCATCTGCCATTTTGTTTCTTCAGAGCCTAAATACAGTTTTATCATTTGGGCAGTGCCCTGTGTATTGGGCAAATATCCTAATTTGATTTTGACGGCATCATCTCCCATCTCAAATCTTCAGGCCTCTGTATCTGTCTAAACCCACATGGTTAGAAAATGCTTTTCTTTTCTGTTCTTTTTTTAAGCTGGAATCTGTCAGCAGAATTTTCTGCGTTTGCTTTTATTTCCTGGGTCTCTTCTTTCTGTTCTATATATTCATTTTCTTGTGTCTTTCCCTGAAGCTATGCATGTTTTGCTTTATGTTATTTTCCAGATTCAACTTCATCAACACAGTAGACATCAAACCCATTTGTTTTCTTCTTTTAAGATGCTAATGTTTATCCATTTATCAAGTATCATCGATGCACTGGTCACTGTAGGATGGGCTGTGCTTCTTACAGCCCTTTACATGTTTTTTTCTGATAATTTGATAAATTAATACTGCCTAGTAAAGTACAATTAACATTTAGTAATCAAAGGTGTAATGTAAAGAGTGAGTTGTACCTCCCTCACCATAATGATAAGCAAAACCTTTTATGTTGTGATGTCTTAACGGTTAGCTGCATGAGTGCTAAATGTTGCTTTTAATTAAACAATAAAGAATGTAACACCCTTTACAGTATCGTTATAAATTTTGATGTGGTACACCAATTTGATTCTTTAAAAATTAATTGCCTAGGAGTATGTTTAAGTAGTGTTGATTATGTTGGTTCCTCATGTTGATCTGTGATACTTAACCCAACATTTAAAATATCTTTTTTCCATTATATGTTGTGATGCAAGAATAAAAGCAAAGTACAAAACAAATAGGCACTTGAATTCTAATAGCAATAAGCAATAAATGTCAGGCATCTGGAAATTATGGTTGCAATTTCATCAGAGTACACTTTGTTCTTCTATTATGCCTGCATGAATTTTGCTACAGGCAAAATCTATTACAGATAACAGTTAAGAACCTTTCTAATCTACACAGATAGTCATGGCAAAATGCTAAAAAACTAAATGTTGGAAAATGTAATATTGCAGGGGAAAATTGACACTTGTAGAAAATAATGTGGTCCTATTTAGAACCACAAATGGTAATAATTTCTTTAAGATTATGGTGTGGTGGATGTTTCTGTGATGGGTGACCCAGATGAAGGACACGGCACTGGTAATGAATCCTGTTTTGCTGGCTGATGTGTGTGCATGTAGGTAGATGCTTATCTGTAAATTGAGGGGTGGGGTGTGTGCTTAATGATTGCTACCTGAAATTGTAATTACAAAGTCAGATCACACATGAGAAGCCTTGGTTTTTTCCACTGTCCTTAGGTACATTGGAGAGGAATATTTCTAGTTTGGAGCCACTTGACTCCCCTTGAGAGAAAGATTAGTTAGTATTCACCATTCTTGATGACACATAGTAACCCTGGATAGTTGTTTGGTAAATTTACTAACTGAGTTTTCAGAAAATTGGTCCCTGGCTATTAACTTGGAGAAACAGTTTTCCTGCACTTAACTCCAGCTTAACCTGCCTCATAGGGATTTCAGAACGTTTGAACTAGAGTTTGAAAATGTGGAATCTGTAATTGACTTTCTTCTCTTCATCCTCTTTATTTTTCACAGCCATTCAATATATATATACGTTGTCATCTGGATTAATAATGTATTACTGTGTAACTAATTACCCCCAAACTTAGTAGCTGAAAGCAACTAATGTTTATTATCTCACAATTTCTATGGGTCAGAGACTTTGGGAGCAGCTTAGATGTGTGGTTCTGGCTTGGGGTCTTTCATGAGGTTACAGGCAGGATGTCAGTCAGGGCTGCAGTTAACTAAAGACTTGATGTCAATCTGGAGATGGAGAATCCTCTTCAAAAAGGATAGCTGTTAGCAAGAGATCTCAATTTCTTATAGGTGATGGACAGGAGGCTTCTGTTTATTACCTTGTGGGTCTCTCTACAGGGCTGTTGAGTATGCCCATATCATGACATCTGGCATTCCAGAGGGCAATTGATCTAAGAAAGAGGAAAGCAGCCACAGGTCCTTCTAAGACTTGTATGGTTTGGCTGTGTCCCCACCTAAATCTCATCTTGAATTATAGTTCCCATAATCCCCAGGTGTCATGGGAGGGACCTGGTGGGAGGCAATTGAATCATGGAGGCAGTTACTTCCATGCAGTTCTCATGACAGTGAGTGAGTTCTCACGAGATCTCATGGTTTTATAAGGGGCTTTTTCTTTTCTGCCAGGCACTTCTCCTTCCTGCCATCATGTGAATAAGGACATGTTTGCTTCCTCTTCTGCCATGATTATGTTTCCTGAGGCCTCCTTAGCCATGCAGAAATATGAGTTAATTAAACCTGTTTCCTTTATAAATTACCCAGTCTCAGGAAGTTCTTTATAGCAGTGTGAGAATGGAGTAATACAATGACCTAGTCTGAAAAGTCAAACATTGTTACTTCTCCCATATTGTATTCGTTAAAAGTGAGTTACTGAGTCCTACTCATATTGAAGGGGAAATCTCAACTATGCCTCTTGACGGGAGGAATATCAAAGAATTTTAAAACCACCACACCACCCAAACAGGGCACACCAGCATGGGCTCCCAGGGCAGAACTGTTCTCCAGGCCTGCTCAAGTGACATGTTCTCTGGAAAGACCTCCTTCACTTCTCTAACCATATTCTTTTTTTTCTTCTCTCAAACCTGGATAACTTAGCATCTCATCACTTTGAGTATGTTGTCTTTGATTGCTGTAAATCACTATTTCATGTATATATTTCATTTCTCCCCAGTAAAATGTTAATTGTCTCAAACTTTATGTGCTCTAGAGGTGATTCCATTTTAGGCAAATTACTGGTGCTCAGTAAATCAAGAAGGGAGGCTGTCCAGCATGGTGAATGAGAGCAGGGCTTTAGAGTCCAAGAGTCCTAGTTCCAATTCTGACTTCATCATTGTAAAACCTTAGAAAGCTATTACACAGGGGCCACTATTAGAATGTAGTGCACAAGCCTATTGTGAAGATTTCATGGGTTAATGCATGTTAAGAACATAGGAAAGGATACACAAATTGTAGGTATTATCACTGTATTGTTGCTGTTTATAGTTTTTTCACATGTCCCTAGGCCATTCTTTGTATTTTATATATATGTTATATATAACATAGATACATCATATATATCAAAGTTATATGAAGTTATATGTTATATAACATATATATGTGATATATACATTTTATATATATATCTCCACTGACTTGGATTCTTGTCCTACCAACTTCCTGTGTGACATTGAGCAAGCTCTTCTCTTTCTCAGCCTGTTTTCCTCATCTGTAAAATAAAAGGGTTGTATCAGACAATTTCTATTATCTTTCTCTAACTCATTTTGTCTTATATAGGTATAAATGAAAATAGAAGAAATTGTCTTTAATCTGGACAAGTTCTATAGGACACACCGTGCTGAATCTTACAGAGAAGAACTTGGGTTAGAAGCTAAGATGCCCGGGTTAGGCTTGTTTTTTGAAGGAAGATGAAGACTAGTATTTATTGAGTACCTATTATGTGCCAGGGTTTCTACATGTGTCATATCATTAAATGCTTACAATTATCCCTCTGTACTTTCTCTCCTCTCTTTATACCCATCCCAACCCATCTCCCATCCAAGATCCTCACTAAAGGTTACGGTCTCAGGTCACAGGACATACGTAGCAGTGAGGAGTTGTGGATCCAGTTCCATCTGATTCCAATCTCAGATCCTTCTGTTGCCCCTGGCTACCTACATTTGAGCAGGATGTGAGTGACCTCTTTGCAGATGTCTTTTTTTCTTTCTTTCTTTTTTTTTTTTTTAAAGAGACAGGGTTTCACTCTATTGCCCAGGCTGGAGTGCAGTAGCTCAATCATAGCTCACTGTAGCCTCGAGCTCCTGGGTTCAAGCAACCCTTCTGTCTCAGACTCCCAAGTAGCTGAAACTACAGGTATACAACACCATGTTCAGCTAGGGTGTGACCTCTTGAGTAAATGACTTAACCTCAGTTTACTCTTCTGTACATGGAAAAGTCTACTCAGGTAACACTGGAGAAGCAGCAGCAGGGTCATTTGTGTAGCTGAGTAGCTCTGGCTGGGTCAAGTTGAGGGGAATGCTCAAAAGTCCCCATAGTTTCTGCATAAATCCAGTAGGCAATTACCAGCTGTTTTACCACTGTGACTTAGTCTTACTGACCCTAAGAAGGTTAAATAATTTGATATGAAGATTGCAGGGCTTCTGCTAGGGTTTTTGAGAGTCTGTACAGGAAAGTTTTGCTTACTTGTTTATTGCTTTGGTGTCTTTTGGGATTTTGCTTTTATTTTTATTTATTTTTTTTGCCCTGGTTCCTCTAAGGTTGGGAAACTTGGCTTTGTGTGGCAAAGCAGGGAAGTGGCTCTGTGGAGTTTACCTCATTTACTGCTCCACCTCTTATGGGCATCCATTCAGATTGTCAGAGGGTCCTTCTTAGAATGCAGGCCATCAGTGAATATCACAGCCTCCCATCTTCAGGAGGCTGTGGGAGGCTCAGCTGGCCAAGTCCTGCCTACCCAGACTCTGAAGTAGGGTTTTGTCAAGGTTTCCTGGTGTCTGAGAACAGATGCTTAGGAAGGAGGAAGGACTAAATTCTTCTCCATGCATGTATGAGCATGAGGAGAGGGGATGAACAGAGTGGGCCATGAGAACTACGTAACAGGCCAGGGCGGCAGGGGGATGAGATGACTACAGAGCAAGAGTGAAGGGACATAAACATGGAACATATCACAAAGAAAGGTGGGATTGACTTCAGTGCTCAGGGTGGGGCCCTGGTGCCCACGGGTGTCTTGGATGAAACACAGGCATTGGAGAGCAGGAAGGTACTAAATCCAATTCTTTAACCTAGAGATAGAAAAACAGGTGGGCCTTGGGTATCCTCTCTCTCCCACTGTCACTGTCCACCTGATATTCATGTCAGCCCTTATCCTTCCTGAACTGAGGTCTCTTCAAGGTAAGAAGGAACATCTGCCTTCTGAGGCAGAGAGCCCAGGATTCAGGGGCAACAATCCTGTTCTCACTGTTGACCCTACAGACCATTCACCAGACGCAACCAGGGAAACTCTTCAAATGTAATTCGGGTCACATCACCCCCTGGCTTACAACCTTCCTATCAGGTTCTTGATCTGCCTACAAAGAAAATAAGAAATATTAGTGTACTAAAAATATTAGAAGTTCTAATTGTGTGTATGGGTTTCAACTGTAATGCTAGACTTCTGTTCCTAGAAGTGATTCAGGCACCATGTTATTGTAGGTTGAAAGGTATGTAAGGGTAAGACATATTTTCCTTTAACAAATGCCTCATTCCAGGACAAGTCTAAAACAAATTAGCCTAATTGTAGAATGTAGCATCTTGGTCTCTTAGAAACTTGTTTCTTCTATTTTACTTTTTGAATATTACCTCTAGTTTTAGAGAACTTGCTTATTGAAAGGGAAAAACAAACAGAACAAGAGCCATTTTTAAAAACAATCATACGTAAAGATGATGCCTGCAGTGATTTCCTATCATAGGGAATAAAATCCAAATTTCTTACCATGCCAGTATGTTCTTCATAACCTGATTGCAGCCAACCTCTCTGACCTCATCTTCTCGGTCTCCTCTTATTCACGCTTCCCCAGACAGATGTGTCTTTTTTTCTGCCCCTTCAATATGCCAACTTTGTTCTCTTTTTAGGGCCTTTATACCTGTAGTCCTCTTTTCCTGGAAAGTTCTGACAAATTTTGGCATGGCTGTCTCCTGGTCAATCCAATCTCAGGTCTGAGTAGTCACATAGAGAGGTATCCCTGCCTATCCCATTTTATGTGATCATATAACAGGTATAACCAATGGCAATTGTCGTGTTAATTTATTAGTCTATAGATTTATTATCTGTTTCTTTACCTGAAACATGAGCTCCAAGAAAACAAGGATTATAGCCTGGCCACTCCTTTCAGGATCCCCAGGGCTGGGCCAGTGCCTGGTAAATATTCACTGAAGGAATGAAGCATTCTTGGCTTTTCCACTTGCCACCTGTATGACCCTGGGGAAGCCACTTTATTTGTATGTTAAAGTAGGTTACAAAATGTACTTTTACAAAGATGAATTTTATATATATATATATATACACACACACACACACACACACACACACACATACATAATGCTTATCACAGTGCCAGATTCATAGAACATGTTGCACAATTAGAATATGTTTTTCCCAAAAGGCCTAAAACAATGCTTATGTGAGTGTGCTCATAAGTGCACACGGTTGACACTGAATAACTATAGTTGATTGAACAAAATAAGTTTCTTGGATTATTCAATTGCTGAGACAGATCTGCAACACAGGCCCTCCTGATTCCCAGTTTAGGGCTTGTTACATCTTCGGTAATTCTCAATGCCAAGGATCCCTGTGGGGTGGTTTAGGGGAGATGGGATTTATGGGAATTGAGCATTTTGGGAAGTGAGTATATACCGGCCTTCTGGAGATGTTGTGTCTAGATGTGGTTTTGGCTCTAACTAGTTGAGTCACTGAGGAAACCACATTATGTATCTTGGTCTCTGTTTTCTGATCTGTAAAATGGAGATTATAAGACCATTTTTTTTCTCCTTCTTATGAGCAGACTCTAGCTTACTACCGGCTGTGAATCAAAATGGGAGGCACAGCTCTGCCCACAGGTTCTGTAGGATCTAGTTGGGGACCTGTACCATGAACAGGGGTTACTGAGAACAACAAGATTCCATCAACAAAGTAAGGTTGGAGTAGAGCAATCTGAGTCCAGAATTGGGTACCGTTTATCATTGGAGGCTGTAATGGCTTAGAATGTTCTGGAAGAGAGGTTCAAATGGACTCTTGAAGAACTTCACTGGGTGATTGTGAGACTAAGATGGTATAAATGCAATGAAATCTTTACAACAATCCAATAACAGGTTTCAGTGCTTTCAGAACCAACTATGACTCACTCTAGGATAATAGGTCTACTCTACATTCCTATCATGCTTTACACCTTAAGGAAAATCTGAGAGATGAGTCTTCCTTTCTTTGTACTCCACTTAGTACAATGTGGGAAAATGAAAGAAGCATCATAACTTAGGTTAGAAAATTTGAGTTCATGTCTAGACTATGCTTCTTATTACAGTACTTAAGTGGCCTTAGACAAGTAGCATAAGCCCTTAAAACCTCATTTTTCTTCTATGTAAAATAAGGATGTACCACTGACTTCATAATATTGTAGTGAGCATTGTATTGTAAAATGTAAAGCTCTATTCTGAATAGCCTATGTGCTGTAGAAATATTCCAAGCAATAGATGATATGCTTCCTAATATATGAAAAATTCCTCAAAGGCAGAATCTATAGTATTTAATTTTTCTGGTGTGCATTTCATCTTCCATACAGTATCTGGTTAGATGACTCAGTAAGTATAGTTGTTGATTAGTCTTCAGCTAGTCTCCAAATGAATATTTACCACATATCTGCCAAAGTCCAAATTTGAACAATGTTGTTTATTTGTTTGGTGAGAGTTATCTGGTTTGTATATAAAAATAAGGATCAGTGGATTGTGGGCATCTTCAACACTGGACCTTGAGAGAAATATTAATTTCCAGAATTGGCCACAACAATTAGATGCTTATTAGATGACAAAGCTGCTGGCCCGAATCACTGAAATTTTGCAATGTTTTTAGAGAGCAGTTTTTTGACCATCTATCTAAAGTATTCTTCTTCTGATTATCCTCCACAATACCATCCTGCTCATTTCTTCCATAGCACTTACAACTATGTAAAATTAGCTTATTTGTTTACTTGTCCAGTTCTCTTCTCTACTAGAATGTAAGGTCAACAGGAGCAGGGCTTTTCTTCATTATTATTATTATTTTTTTAATCTGAGACCCAGAATAATTCCTGGCAAAAGACGGTAATCAAGAAACATTTTAAATTAATTCATTAATGAGTAAATACACCCAATGAACTATTACAGAAACTGAAAAAAATAATCCGATCGTCCAGCTCTTCTTTTATTTCAAGGATGACTTTCCCTGGATGCAAATGTAAACACACTTGAACGTTTCATGTTCATTTGTCTGGGAATAGTCAACCAGCATGGATGAAGTAGAATGTCAATCAGTATCACCTACATATAAAGAGACCCAGTCAGAAGAGCAATCTCAATGACTCAAGATGGTATCCCAAACTCTGAAATCATGAAAATGGATTTAGCCTACCTTCTCCTTTGGGATGTGGTCAGTTGTAACAATCTTCATTTGCTGGTTCTCTATACAATTATTTAAATAGTTTTAAAAATGTATGTATTTATTTTTGTACTACTTTTTTAAATTAATAGATAATAGTTGCGCATATTTTTGGGTACATGAGATATTTTGATACATATATTTAATGTGTTATGATCAAATCTGGATAACTTGGATATTCATCAGCTCAAACATTTTTCTTTGTGTTGGGAAATATAATTTTTTTCTTCTAGCTATTTGGAAATATACAATAAATTGTTGCTAACTGTAATTGCCCTACTGTACTACTGAATACTAGAACTTATTCCTCCTGTTTAACTGTATTTTTGTACTTGTCTTTTCAGTAGAACATGTCTGCTCTATAGTATAATAGCTTGTGAAGGAGTTAACTGTTTCCTCACTGAGGACAAACTGCATGATGCATGCCAAGTTCTCTGCCGCCAGGGTTTTTAAGGCTGTGAGCTGGAATGTGCAGTGATTAAGCATCACAGAGATGAGGGCCTTATAGGCTAGGACCTTCACCTTCACGCTCCTAATAGGCAGCATGGCAGATAACCCTTGTGACCAATGAAGTCTTTCTTGAAGATCTGTGTTCAGTACTATTAAGTTAATTTTCAGCATGCAGTTAGTTATGGAGGTAACTTCTATATTCACGCAAAATTCTTCCTTGAATAGAATAATTCAGGGTAGCATTCAAAGATTTCTCTCTGAATCTTTATTGCAGTATCATCTTGAATGACAATGGCTGATGTGAATAACTTTGTTCAGAGGTACTGATTATGGACTGAAGTTTTGTATTTTTATGTAAATTACGGGCAAGCCCTTTCTCTCATGTATTTGACATTAACATAGCTGGGTAATTTTGAGAATCTGGTGACTATATTTTTTAATGCACAAAACAAAGTTCCAATGCAAGTAGGTATTTTTCACTAGTGGAAAGACTGAAATATGTTGTGAATATTACAGAATGGGCAACATTCTAGCTTAGCCATCCTGCTACAGATTTATTTTCTCTGAACCTTAGATCTAAGCTTTGTAATGGTGCATCCTCAATGTCTAGCTTGTCTATCACCTCAGGCCATATTCAGTATTTCCTCAGTTAAAATCCATAAAGGTTTGGACGATCACATCTCTGCACACAGCGGTCCTTTTGGCATCACTTTGATTTCTTTTGAATCAGGAGATTTTAGAAGTCCAGAGATACGTATAATCCAACAGGGCCTAAACTCTTTTTTATTGACTGGTGTCCAAGTCAAAACACCTGAGGATCTTTAAAAACATACAGATACTAAGATTCTTACTCGTCACAGTTCTTATTTAGAAGGGTGGGTGCCAGGTGTGGTAACCTCAGCACTTAGAGAGTCTGAGGCAGGAAGATCACTTAAGGCCAGGAGTTTGAGACCAGTTTGGGCAACATAGCAAGACTCCATCTCTACAAAAAAAAAATTAGCCTGGCATGGTGGTGCATGTCTGTAGTTCCAATTACTTGGGAGGCTGAGGCAGGAGGATTTCTTGAGCTCAGGAGTTCGAGGCTGCGGTGAACTATGATTACATTGCAGCTCTCCAATCTGGGTGATAGAATGAGTCTCCAAAACAAAATAAAACAAAACACAGAAAACACCAATAAACAAAACAAAGAATAAAAAATAGAAAGAATGGGATATTGTCCTGGAATCTGTATTTTTAAAAATATGATGTACAGTATTTGGGAATAGATTGCCTCTTTCTCAACACTCTGATTTTATAGACAGTAAACTGTAATCCACAAATGGCAGATACACAGCTAGCTAATGACTGAGCACATATGTCCCCAGTTTTTCATCCTGACTTCATCAACATTCTTTAATTATGATGACAATATCATAATCAGTAACAACTTGCCTGCAACTACTGCTCCACAGGTGCATCTACTATGTACTTCTTTTGTCCTGCCCTGGATGGCTCATATGCATGATCTTCTTTCATCCTCCAGAGAGCACTGATGAGATATGCCTTCTCTGCTTCCCAGAATAACTAGGCCTCACAGTACCTTCTTACATAACCAAGTTCCTTTAATGACATTTCTACGTGTTTCCAGATGAGAGTGTGAACGACTGAGCCAGGAAGCTGTTCATCCTTTCAACCAGGAAACTGACCTGGAGGGTTGCAATGTTCATGATTTGAAACAAAAAGATAACAGATATATTAAAATGGGAGGGAAAAAGGCATTTTTAAAAGACCTTAAGCTAAGGGTTGTTTATAAATGTTTGTTTTGGGGCTCCCAGAATTGATCATTGCGACTTTGTTTTCATCAGAAGCTGAAACTTTCTTGGTTACTCTCAAGGGAGTAAATTCATTCTCAGTGATAAAATAATTTCCAGACCCAATCAAAGCAACTCCTTCCCTTCCTCAAAATTCTCAGCACTTAATAGGGAGATGGGCTATGGACTCATAAGAATGGAACCTGAAAGTCTCCAAGGTATTTTCCTGATCAGGCTTCTGGGAGACACGGGATTCCCTGAACTGGATTTTTTAACAGGGTATTTGGAGGAGGAAGGTTTGGGGACAGCGTTGCTTTCGTGAATGTGAGGAGGTGTGTGTGTGTGTGTGTGCGTATGTAAAGAAGATAACATGGCTCTATGTGTGCATGTGTCATGTGTGTGCACAGGCACAATTGAACCTTCTCAAAGTTCTTCCCCTCTTATAGGAACACAGGAGAAAACTCTTCCCAGCGGGAGATCAAGCCATCAGATCCTCCCAGCATTTCAAAGTTCTGGGAGTTAGGCTACTTTTCTCACTTTGGATTTCTAATGTCCTCCAGCAACTCATTCTCAGTTTACTTGATCTTCTCCAATTCCCAAGGCATTTTTCTCCTTTACGTTAGTTATATTTTGCTTATTAACAACGTAATATAGTTTCTAACATAGAATGTATTTTTAGAGCAGTTTTAGGTTTCCAGAAAAATTGAGCAAAAGGTACAAAGAGTTCCCAACACACCTTTCCCTGAACACATGGACAGCCTCCCCTGTCACCCACACCCCACAACAGAGTGGCCTGTTCGTTAAAATCTATGACCTACATTGATACATCCTTGTCATCCAGAGTCCACAGGTGACATTAGGAGTCACCAAGAGTGTGGAAAATACTTGGTGTAGAAAATAATACATTTTCTTGGTGTAGAAAATAATACATTTTCATTATTTTTATTATAAGAGCTTTGAAACATTTAAAAACTAAAGAAAATTAAAGGCATCTGTAATCCTACACCTAGATTTAACTAATGGTAATATTTTGGTTTTATAATTCACTCATCTGTGTGTGTATGTGTGTGTGTTCTTTTTTCTTATCAAAACAAGATCATATTGGGAATACCACTTTATTATTATTTTCAATTAACATTAGATCTTGGGTATTTTTTGACATTCTTAAATATTCTAACAAATGATTTTCATGACTGCATAGGTCTACATTGAATATTTGATCATGTTATTTCTACCCAAAAATTATTATAAACTCTGATGAAATGAACCTCCTCTGTGCCCTTTTTCCTCCTTTAGAGGCGGGATTCCCATGTTAAAGGGCACTCTACCGTCAGACTCTCTTTATAAGGAGCCAACCAGTCCTCAGGAAGATCCACCTATATGCAGAGAAAGAAAGTACTCTTTTATCTGTAAACTTACCAAACTAGATCTTTGAACCTAAAAAACATAAATTTTAAAAGCAATTAAAAAATCTGGTGTCTCAATTTTAATAATCAAGAAAACAAACTCTCTAACTACATGGATCCAAATATCTAGTGTTAAAAATAAATCCATTTAATAAGAACCTTCTAATCCTCTCCTAATAGTTGGGGATCAACAAAACTGATAGACTGCAAGCAAGACTAATAAAGAAGAAAAGAGAGAAGAATCAAATAGACACAATAAAAAATGACAAAGGGGATATCACCACCTATCCCACAGAAATACAAACTACCATCAGAGAATACTATAAACACCTCTACACAAATAAACTAGAAAATCTAGAAGAAATGGATAAATTCCTCGACACATACACCCTCCCAAGACTAAACCAGGAAGAAGTTGAATCTCTGAATAGACCAAAAACAGGTTCTGAAATTGAGGCAATAATTAATAGCTTACCAACTAAAAAAAGTCCAGGACCAGATGGATTCACAACTGAATTCTACCAGGGGTACAAGGAGGAGGTGTTACCATTCCTTCTGAAACTATTCCAATCAATAGAAAAAGAGGGAATCCTCCCTAACTCATTTTATGAGGCCAGCATCATCCTGATACCAAAGCCTGGCAGAGACACAACAAAAAAAGAGAATTTGAGACCAATATCCCTGATGAACATTGATGCAAAAATCCTCAATAAAATACTGGAAAACCGAATACAGCAACACATCAAAAAGCTTATCCACCATGATCAAGTGGGCTTCATCCCTGGGATGCAAGGCTGGTTCAACATACGAAAATCAATAAACGTAATCCAGCATATAAACAGAACCAAAGACAAAAACTACATGATTATCTCAATAGATGCAGAAAAGGCCTTTGACAAAATTCAACAACCTTCATGCTAAAAACTCTTAATAAATTAGGTATTGATGGGACATATCTCAAAATAATAAGAGCTATTTATGACAAACCCACAGCCAATATCATATTGAATGGACAAAAACTGGAAGCATTCCTTTTGAAAACTGGCACAAGACAGGGATGCCCTCTCTCACCACTCCTATTCAACATAGTGTTGGAAGTTCTGGCCAGGGCAATCAGGCAGGAAAAGGAAATAAAGGGCATTCAATTAGGAAAAGAGGAAGTCAAATTGTCCCTGTTTGCAGATGACATGATTGTATATCTAGAAAACCCCATCGTCTCAGCCCAAAATCTCCTTAAGCTGATAAGCAACTTCAGCAAAGTCTCAGGATACAAAATCAATGTGCAAAAATCATAAGCATTCTTATACACCAATAACAGACAAACAGAGAGCCAAATCATGAATGAACTCCCATTCACAATTGTTTCAAAGAGAATAAAATACGTAGGAATCCAACTTACAAGGGATATGAAGGACCTCTTCAAGGAGAACTACAAACCACTGCTCAATGAAATAAAAGAGGATACAAACAAACGGAAGAACATTCCATGCTCATGGGTAGGAAGAATCAATATTGTGAAGATGGCCATACTGCCCATAGTAATTTATAGATTCAATGCCATCCCCATCAAGCTACCAATGACTTTCTTCACAGAATTGGAAAAAATTACTTTAAAGTTCATATGGAACCAAAAAAAAGCCTGCATTGCCAAGACAATCCTAAGCCAAAAGAACAAAGCTGGAGGCATCATGCTACCTGACTGCAAACTATACTACAAGGATACAGTAACCAAAACAGCATGGTACTTGTACCAAAACAGAGATATAGACCAATGGAACAGAACAGAGCCCTCAGAAATAATGCCGCATATCTACAACTATCTGATCTTTGACAAACCTGACAAAAACAAGAAATGGGGAAAGGATTCCCTATTTAATAAATGGTGTCGGGAAAACTGGCTAGCCATATGTAGAAAGCTGAAACTTGATCTCTTCCTTACACCTTATACAAAAATTAATTCGAGATGGATTAAAGACTTACATGTTAGACCTAAAACCATAAAAACCCTGGAAGAAAACCTAGGCAATATCATTCAGGACATAAGCATGGGCAAGGACTCATGTCTAAAACACCAAAAGCAATGGCAGCAAAAGCCAAAACTGACAAATGGGATCTCATTAAACTAAAGAGCTTCTGCACAGCAAAAGAAACTACCATCAGAGTGAACGGGCAACCTACAGAATGGGAGAAAATTTTTGCAACCTACTCACCTGACAAAGGGCTAGTATCCAGAATCTACAATGAACTCAAACAAATTTACAAGAAAAAAATACAAAGAACCCCATCAAAAAGTGGGTAAAGGATATGAACAGACACTTCTCAAAAGAAGACATTTATGCAGCCAAAAGACACATGAAAAAATGCTCATCATCACTGGCCATCAGAGAAATGCAAATCAAAACCACAATGAGATACCATCTCACACCATTTAGAATGGCGATCGTTAAAAAGTCAGGAAACAACAGGTGCTGGAGAGGATGTGGAGAAATAGGAACACTTCTCCACTGTTGTTGGGACTGTAAACTAGTTCAACCATTGTGGAAGTCAGTGTGGCAATTCCTCAGGGATCTAGAACTAGAAATACCATTTGACCCAGCCATCCCATTACTGGGTATATACCCAAAGGATTATAAATCATGCTGCTATAAAGACACGTGCACACGTATGTTTATTGCAGCACTATTCACAATAGCAAAGACTTGGAACCAACCCAAATGTTCAACAATGATAGACTGGATTAAGAAAATGTGGCACATATACACCATGCAATACTATGCAGCCATAAAAAATGATGAGTTCATGTCCTTTGTAGGGACATGGATGAAGCTGGAAACCATCATTCTCAGCAAACTATCACAAGGACAAAAAACAAACACCGCATGTTCTCACTCATAGGTGGGAATTGAACAATGAAAACACATGGACACAGGAAGGGGAACATCACACACCGGGGACTGTTGTGGGGTGGGGGAATGGGGGAGGGATAGTATTGGGAGATATACCTAATGCTAAATGATGAGTTGATGGGTGCAGCACACCAACATGGCACATGTGTGCATATGTAACAAACCTGCACGTTGTGCACATGTACCCTAAAACTTAAAGTATTATAATAATAATAATAATAAATAAAAATAAAAAAATAGATGAGTAAGTAATTCCCTACCCTCAAGAATTTCATCCATTAGAGTGGAGATAGATGAATATGGAACTAAGTTCTGTGATGTGCCAAACTCTTGGTATATCATTAGTGCTCAATGACTATTTATTGAATGCATGCCTTGTTGAAGGGGAGCAGTGGGCAGTGGGATTGCCAAGGAGGAAGTCATTAATTTTTCCTGAGGGTGGTCAGGAGAAGCTTCCCAGAGGCGGTGGCTTTCCAGTAAAAGTGGCTTGCCCTTCATTAATTCTCTAGCTATTTATAAGCCCTGGACAGTCTTCTGGATACATGGTGATGGTCAAGGCCGACAGAGCCCTTGATCTCATGGAGCTTCTATTCTAGACAGAGAAGACAGACAACAAGCCAGGAAACAGCAACAGTAGCAGGCAATGTCAGGTAATAACAGTCGTGTGAAGTGAAAGGCAGACACTGCGTTAGGGTGAAGTTTCTTCCACCTGACTTCCGAGAGCAGCAAAGTTTGTCAGGCTGAGATAAGAAAAGCATCTGGGGGAGGAATAAGAGCCTGAGTGAAGTCACAGGTGGCTGGTGTGCTCCAAAAAAAACTGTGGAAGGCATGGCAGAGCAGAGAGCATCTGGAGCCCAAAGGGAAACCTGATTTGATCACTGGCCCAAGGTACCTCTGATGGGGTTTTGAATGAGGCAGGTATGAGGAAGCACTTTACATAGTTATTCTGTATGTTCCCTCCTCCAGCATCAATCTGCAGGTCTAAAAGCCCAGCCAATCATCGGCAAGTTTTGGACCTTCTGAAAAGCGAGGTAGATGTGAGTTCAGTGACAAGGTTGCCAGGCAAAATGTTGGATATCCACTTAAGCTGGACTTTCAGATAAACTTGCAATAATTTCTTTTAGTGTAAGTATGTCTCAAAAATTGCATTTGAATTTGAAAGTCCAGTTTAACTGAGTGTTTCACATTTTCACTTCCCTAAATCTGGTAAACTCTATTAAGGAGCTGGGAATACCAGACCCAGATGCCTGTGTCATTTTGCAAGGACTCTGAGATTAACTGAGAGAACATTGGAGAAAAACAGTAGTCCTGTTTTGGTTTTATTCCTCCCAGGACTAATAAAATTATTTGTTAAATAGTTTCTTTCTTCTGGGGATCCAGGAAGATGATTGTTAATGAATATTTAACTAGAATAAAGAGGGGACAGGCAGGATGGCTTATGCCTGTAATTCCAGCATTTTGGAAGGCTGAGGCAGGTGGATCAGTTGAGGTTAGGAGTTCAAGACCCCCGTGGCCAACATGGTGAAACCCCCTCTCTCCTAAAAATACAAAAATTAGCCAGGTGTGGTGGTTGGTGCCTGTAATCTCAGCTACTTGGGAGGCTGAAGCAGGAGAATCACTTAAACCTGGGAGCCAGAGGTTGCAGTGAGCCAAGATGGTGCCACTGCTCTCCAGCCTGGGCAACAGAGAGGGACTCCATCTTAAAAATAATAATAAAATAAAATAAATAAACAAATGAAATAAAATAGAATAAAGAGAAACAACCATACTTTCGATGACTGCTGTAGGAGAAGGCCTCTCATAAGGGTTTCACATTGGGAAGGGTGGGGTGCAAAGTCCATATATCGGCTCTTTTGGAATTCAGTGTGGTTGAAGGAGGTTGGCACAGTGCCTGTGTGTTCAGTTGCCCCAGGACAGTCCTAACTTACAGTCCTAACTGTTGTCCCACAGTGATCATGAACAGTGCCACCTTTCACTCTCAAAAATATTCTTCTGGTTTTCAGTGATAAAGGATGTGACCATTTCATGATGTGGCCAATAAACTCTGAGAACTGGGCTGGACTTTTTATAAACTGGGGGTGCCACATGACCTCACTGAGCCTCCCTTTCTTTATTTGTGAGTGATGGGGCATTGGGAAAAACTCTGAGCTCCCTTCCCAGCTTTGAGACTCTAATTTTGTGGATGTCTCTGGGCACAGCTAATGGTAAGAGGGCATTTGTTTACTTTCAGTTTGAAAATGATGTGATTTCAATTTTCATATACGCTGTGTCTGTTCATGCTAGCAGGGTTATATTAGTTTCCAAAAATCTTTCAAGAGAGAAAACTTAAAATTTTTGCTTTGTCCTTGGGATATGGAGACCAAATGCTAGGTAGTACCTGAAACAACTAGAGTTTCAGTGAATAAAGAATCGCAAGTGACCAAACATAACATTGGCTAATGTGAGCCCAGTTATGTAAGCAACATTTTAGATTTAACAAAATTGTGTAAGTGATACCAGAATATAATTAAATTTCTACCTTTTTACTCCTCTCTTATCTATGATGCTCCCCTAAACCAGGTTTATGTAAATCCTTCCAGATTTTGAAATACAAATCTGTATTTGCATTCATTTACATACATAGACATATAGTTTTTTAAATGAAAAATATGTACTTAACATTTTTAGTACATTGCTATTAATAATTTTCAGCCATCCTTCTCTTTCACTGAAGACAGATACATCGCAATCTTTTTCTTTTTTTAGCTGTGTGGTATATCAGAGTGTGGGTATATCAAAATATATTGAAATAATCTACTGATAGAGATTTAGTTTGTTTCCAATTGTCTGCTATACATGCACATACATATGTATATTCATGTAGCATACATTCTAGAAACAGAAAATTTCATCTTAATAGTTATTGCTAAATTGTTATTTTAAAAGGCTCTTTTGATTTGCATGCCAAATTGGGGGTGTGTTCCTGGAACTTGAAGAGAAATTTTGCATGAAAGCAAGGAGTCAAGGTGTTGGTTTGTCCTGAAATTTAGCTCTAAGTAATCTTTTTTTTTTCTTTTCTTTTTGGCAGTGATTCCTTGATCTGTGCAGTTGGATCAAACCTAGACCAAATTCAATCTTACTTATGTATAAACTTGGTCGCCATGACCTTGTGATTATCTGGGGAGTGATTTCTTGGTGTAGGCTGCAGTCCAACTATGAATGACCCTGATGGGAGAACACTTTTATCCTTCCATCTATAGAAGCTGAATTAGGCTTACTGGGATTAACTGGGACTGAAGGACTTGTTCATCTACTTTAATTATCCTGCCAATGAGAGCTTTTTTCCAGGCTGGATTTTGGATCACAAGAAGAATGGAGGCTGAAGAGACTGATAGCAGAGCTCAGTTAAAGATCTTATAGAAAAGGCGCTCAGAAGGGAAACTCTCGCCTAATGTAGTAGATAAGATTTTATTTTCTTTTTTTCTTTTCTAAAGGAGAGGCCATATTTAAAAACAAAACAAAACAGGTGCATTTTGTAAACTTTGAGTGTTTTGGCTCGTTGATGAAATTATTTCTCTAAGAAACCACATGAAAAGGCAGGAAGAAAAAAGGTATGGTTTTCTTTGCTCTAAAGCAAATCAGGCTTTTCTGTACTGAAACTTGCACCCATAAAGCCAAAGTTAACAAAAGGATGAAAGCTGGGAAAATTGAGGGACTAGGAGAGCTGAAGACAAAGACTGGACAAAATGGCCATCTTGCCATCATTGTGTTCTCTGCTGCCCTCTAGTGGTGCTGCGGGGGAATTGGGTGTAAAAATGTCTGAAGGTCATCCTTATGGAGCTGAATTGTAGAAGAGCGAAAGGCGGCATAAGGTATATCCCTTAAAGTGGCCCATCTTGTCAAATAGCCTGTCTAATGATGAGGGAACAAATATTGTCTCATAGAAACCATAAAACAGTGGAGCGTATGCTGCAATGAAGCTATCTAATAGTAGAAAAGAAAAATTATGGGAAACAGGACACCCTTTCCACCTAATTCAGTGCAACATACATATATTCAGCAAAGACCCTGTGCCAGATTCTGTGCCCAGCACTGGAAATGCAGGGAAGAATTCAACATGTCTCCTGGGTTTGGGCTGATCCAAATGTAGAGGGTGGGCACAAAAGAACAAGTGAGATTGCAAATAGCCGTATAAGAGGCATTTGACAAGACGTTTGCTCTTGATAGTAATTCCTCAGTCAAAATGAGATTACTCATGGAGCATTTTCATTTGTTCTAAAATAGGAAAACATTGCCTTGATCTGGGTAGAGGTGACAGCTCAGGGAATGGATAAAGTTTTCTTTCTTCTCTCTCTTTTGTAAAACACTGAATTTGGGCTGCTGAGATGGCACAACTATGACAGCTCAAAGTTTTAGTCTTGGTTTGAAGATGAAAGCCAAATCATGTACACGAGTTCTTTATTCCTCTGCAAAATAAATTCCTCTGTGAACTACAGGGAAATAAAAGGCTCTACTGAGGGGGATTGTCACACTGAATTGCAGCAGAGTCAAAGATGGCCACCTGCCCCCCATCTGTGCAGAGCTGTGCCTGATGCTCCTGAAGGAATCTTTTGTAGGCTCCTCCCCATCATCAACCTTAGGAACCCTCTTTATTTAGGGACATGGGCTTTGCTAAGGAATTCTCTCTTTCAGTTCTTTTGCTATCAGTTCTGGATTGCATTTAGTAAGAATTGATCTTCCACTCTTTGCATTAACCAAGAAGCAAGAGAGAGCATGAGGAAGAGTTAGATTAAAGGTGAGGGTTCTTTTTCAGTATCCAGAGAAACACTAATGTAAGTGTGTGTGTGTGTGTGTGTGTGTGTGTGTTTGTATTTAGGGAAGCTACTTGTACCTTAATCTGGAATTTATTAGAAGACCAAGGACTAAATCTCTTTAGCATCCATTCCCCTGCCTTCTTGCATTCACATTGGACTTTTTAGGGGCAATCAGTCCTTCTTACCCTCTGTCCTTATGGCTTTAGAGTTCATGCCACCTCTGACAGGTAAACCATAACTGGCCACTCAGAGTGTGACAACCTCTGGCAGCGTGATAAGTTCAGGGAAGGGCACAAAACCTGGACTGGACCAATCAGGGAGGTTGAGAGACTCCATTTGGGGGTGTTTATGGAAGATCTTGGGGCAAAGCACTGTGTTTATTCTGGGGTTTCTTAGTCATTTCTTGTATTGCTATAAAGAAATACCTGAGACTGGGTAATTTATAAAGAAAAAAGGTTGAACTGGCTCACAGTTCCACAGGCTGTACAAGAAGTATGGTGCTGGCATCTGCTTGGCTTGTGGTGAGGCCTCAGGAAAGTTACAATCACGGTGGAAGAGAAGGGGAAGCAGGCGTCTCACATGGTGGGGGCAGGAGTGAGAGAAACACTGATGGGGGAGGTGCTACATGCTTTTTAAATAACCAGATCTTGTGAGAACTCATTCACCATCATAAGAACAATACCAAAAGGATGGTGCTAAGCCATTCATCAGAGACACCTCCATGATCTTATCACCTCCCTCCAGGCTCTACCTCCAACACTGGGGATTACAATTCGACATGAGATTTGGTGGGGACACAGATTCAAACCATATCATGGTGTAAATAAAAAAGATGGGACATAAGCATGGAGCTGTTGATATCTTTCCGTCACGAAGAGATAAGTTATCTAAGAGTGAGACCACACTAGAAGAAAAAAACAAACTTGATGTGATGGTCCTAATGACACTGTTTGAGTTCCTGGATACAGTCATATTTGCAGCCTCATATATCTAGCCATGAACTTTTCAGTTAAGTGAGCCAATCTTTTGTCTCCTTTGTGTGCACTGAATCACTTGAAGGATTTGTTAAAATACCTATTGCTGTGCCCCACCTCCATGTTGGTCGAGGGAGCTGCCTGTGAACTTGCATTTCAAATGATTTTCCAGGAGATGCTGGTGCTACTGGTCTGGGAACCACACTTTGAGAACCAGTGGCTTATAATCCTTTTTTTTGGTTTCTGCTACTTGTAACCAAAATGTCCTGACTGATACCAGAAGATCTTTCTAAATGAGAAAGAATCTCATTCTTTGAAGAATTAATAGAATAAGATCAAAAAGAGTGTATGGGACCTAGTCAATAAGCACTTGAAAAAATGACATGGCCACAATTCATGGGGACCAATCTGACACTTTCTTTAGGGGGTTTTCCATTCTGTTTCTACTCACACCTGATCCCTTTTTGTGGCTAAAGGCAAAGCCAATGGAATATACGACAAATGAGCAAAAACAGCAGGACTAATACGTGTTTTATCAAAGACTTAAAATGCATGCATTGAGAAGATGCACATTTTTTCACTCTGATCCAGTCTGTCAATAAAATGCTTTTCATGAGAAACATCAAAGCCATTTCATCTGCAAATTTCATATTTTTGAATCCCTTAATCTACACTGTTGACAAAAATTTCTGTCAAGTGCCTCAAACCATTGTATTAACAAATTTCGTTTTGTCAATCATGATTTGGCCTGCTTGCAAATGCATTTTGTACTATTCCGCTCCATCTTGCAGGAAGAATACCTAACAGGCAATGCCTCAATCTTAATATTGAAAGCAAGTGAAGAGGGAAAGTAAAAGTGGTGTCAGAGCCTGTTCATTTAGCACATTGATCAGATGTCCCTGTGCATTTTAACTAAATCCAGCTTATCTGAAGTCTTCCCTGGGTAGTGCAAGCCACAGTGAAAGTAAGGGTATTATAACTGATGAAATCACACAGTGTTGTTCATACCTTTCTGTTTGGCCTTATTTGTTCATCACAGCCTTTCTGTCTTTACCTTCAAGACTTCTTATTGCGGTTAGTTCTGGTAGCTTGTATCACCGTTCACAAATGTCCCTAATTGCAAATTCAGGAGGATGGCATCTAGATTCCAGTGTCTTCTGATTCCACCATAACTTCATTCTAATTATCATGTCACTAAAGCAAAGAATGGTCACTAATGTTTTCCAGAGATGCTGTAAGAGCATCTTACTGTTTCTGCTCAAGAGGAAGCTATGGTGGGTGATCTCAAGCTTGAGATGTTTGTTTTCTGCTTTGCTTCTTCCTAATTCTTGGTGAAGGATGATAAGAAGAAGAGAAAATACTGAATCTCCTGACAGCCTCTGACATGCTAAATTGCTGTTTTTTTAAGTACTTCAAAACAAGAAAGTCATAGGCTAAGGCCATTAGTTCAAGTTATGTGGATCCCCTGTGGACAATTTGCAGATGCCAATGTATCCTGTAGGGAATTAGACATCTCCTTGAACTGCAGAGAAGAAATGCTCATTGGCTTAAATATTGAGCAATTTGAATTCAAGTCCTGACTCCACGTCATAATAGCTATTTGACCTTGAGAAGTCACTGGACATTGCCTTGCCAGGACATCTCCTCACCTGCACAATGGCGCTAAGAGAACCATTTACCCTGCAGACTTTCTAAGCTCCTGGAGATGTCAAAGGGGAGGACTTTATAAGCCAAAGTTTAGGGTGATTGTCAAGTGTTAGATATATAAAAGCCTGCATTGGATATTGTTTCAGAAATGCTACTTTTAATTTCACTATCTTAGAGGAGGCACTACGTTCATCTCTGTGGTATAAGCCAATGGAAGAGTGGTGATGAAGTTTGAGAACTTGCTGCAAATCTCTTCAATATTTCCCTTGCATATGGCCTGAAAACCTGCTCTCAGGTGATCTTTGGAGTGTGGCATGTGAAGGAGAAAGACCACATATAAAATGTGTTGATAAAGGTTTCTGTGGGGAAGTGCATGTATACACCACATTGGTTTCCTCAATGATCATCATTAGAAACAGAGATAGATAGGTCTGATGCAGGAATAGTTAAGACCTGACACTTAGAATCCTGCCCTTGAAGAGCAGGTAGCAGAGGGCAGCCGGCAGGTGGAACCGATTGCCTGTATGTCTAAGGGAGATAAAAGGCCACACCAAGGCCTAACATTTTAGTTTCCAAAATTTTGCTGTCATTCATTCCCTTACCAAGGAAGAATCATCTCATATCTGAGACACTTTGGACCCCAAACTATGCACAGGGACAGTGGTCACTACAAAAGCTCTATGGTGGCCAAGTTTGGGTGGCTATGGTTTTTTCAATGGAACCCCGTGTCCAGAATTACGGCAAGGATAGGGAGGTCTGTGTGTTTTTGTACATTCCTTCTCGACCCTTTTGAGACCTTTTCAAACTTCTCTTCTCCACACAAAACTACCTTAGCTCTGGTCCTCACTCTTCCCAAACGCTTTTCATTTCTAGGGCCATCTAAATCCATGCTTCCAGCATGGCAAGTGATGTGCAGCTAATAATGACTTCCTGGAGCTCTCAGCTCCAGATTTGCTGTCTGAAGCTAAGGAAATCAGTACACTGTTAGGAAGAAACAAATCAATTACAATAAGTGACAAACAAACAAACTCCTTTTTCTCAGAAGCCAAAGCTTGTGGAGTGAATTACAGAGACAAGAGCCTTCTGGGCTAGTGGTTTCTGGAGAATCGGCTTCAGGATGGATGTCCACAGACATTAGGAGGAAGCAGGCCTGGGGAAGACCAAGGGTAGAGAGAAAAGTAAAGTGGTAGCCTCTCGCCACAGGTTCTGCACATTCTATTGCACGTAACTGACTATTTCCCAGGAAACATTTGCATCAATCTTTGGTTTCTAGAAGCAGAGACAAGCCCACAAAAATAAACTACTATGTTGGATAGTATGGCAATCAGGACTTTTTAATTGTAAATAATGGATAATATCTCCCAAACTAGCTTATGGGGAAAAAAAATAAATGAAACCCTCTTGGCTTACATACCTTAATCATCTAAGGGTAAATTTTACATTTGGTGCAGCTGGATATAAGAGCGCATGCTGCCACTGATGTGATTTTTTTAGTCTGCATTTCTCGACTTAGTTTTATCTTTGGAGGACTCACTCGCAGACAGGTTTCTTCTCATAGAAGCAAAATGCCTGCTTCTGGTTCCCAAAGTCACATCTTACTAGTTTCAATTCTGGCAGAAAAGTGTTGGAGACTCTATGCCAAGCATTCTCAGAAAAATTCCTAAAATTCACTCTGATTTGGGTGGCTAGGGCCACATGCTCACTCCTGATGCAAAGACCATGTGAGGAGGACTCAGTCCTCTCACTGGCATAAGCATGGGTTGTATATTCCACCCAGAAGGGCTTAGGAGGACTGAGATGGAGCAGGTGGGAGAGTCACTGAAAATCAGAGCTGATGGCATAAAAGCCTTCTTTCAGTCATGGCTTGGTGTTAGAACACAAAAATTTCTATTTTAAGCTGAGAGTAATCAATCACATGATATTCAATGCTTAGAAGACGGTTGGAAAGGCTGAGATCAGGCTCCAGGAATGACTTTGAAAAGAGTAAACAGACTTAGCTCACATAGGGAATGGCCTCTCTTTCTACCCAGGAAACTGGAGAATTGACACACTGTCCTACAAAGTGCTGGCTTCTGTTCATACTCTCTTCGTGTGATCCAGGAATCAAGAAGCCACCATCAGAAACATTGGTTCCAGAGCCATGACACATGTGCTGAATCCATACCAGCAAAATGGCACCCTCCATCCTGCCTCATGATACCCACAATGCTAAGTCCCTTCTGTGGAACTCTACTAGCCCGACATAGAAAAATCAAATATTGTTGTGTCAACTCTAGCCAGCAGAAGCAGTGGAAGCATGGCTTCTCTCTCACTGCCATCTTCTAGGTCTTGTGCATCCCATTGGCCAAACCTAAATGATATCTTGAAACTTGGGGGGGTCTAAGAAAAACAGCATTTAGCTTTACAGCATCTGTAGCCACTAGAAGGAGGGTGAAATGGAAGTTAAATGGTCATCGTCATGGCCACCATGGAGGGCCAGTTAGGAATGTCTACCATAGGTAAGATTTAAATTGCACACAAGGCCTCTCATGGATATTCTCTATGCTAAACACTTCTCCTGGAGGAAACCATTTTGCTAAGGCAAAGCTGCCCAGACCCATGGAGGAACAGATATGCTGCATAGGAGAGAGTCACTCATAGGCCACCATGGAAGCTCAGTGAGGGGTCTGCTGTATGCACCTAGCTGGAGAAGAAACCCAAACATATCAACGTGGGGGGAACATGAAGTTCATATGATGCCTGGCTGGACAGAGAGCAGCAAACCATGGAGTAGAGAGCAGGCCAAGAAGGAAGAACGCCAGGCTGCCTTGACTACACACCCATGGCTGCTCCTGGGTCTGGTGACCCAATCTAAGACTGTCACTGTGTGTGTTTAGATTTCATGACCCTTCATTTGGACAATGCTTATTTACAGTGTTATTATAGCCAATGTTTCTTGTATGCATAGCATGGGCCAGGTCCTTCTATGCCCTTCACAGATATAATTCCATTTAAGCCACACTGCAATCCTGTTCCACAGGGACCAGCTTTCATTCATTTATTCAACAAATATTGTTGAATGCCCACTATGTAGTAGACCCAGTCCTAAGTGCTGATGTTCTAGCCATAAACTAAGTAGACAAGGATCCTTCCCCTTATGTCTTTTATATCCTAACAGTAACTATTATTATTCTCATTTGACAGGGGAGGAACTTGAGGCATGGGAAGGTTGCATCAGTCACTCAAGGTCATTGGGCCAGTGACTGGCGTATTTGAACCCTGGCAGTCGGCTGCAGAGCCTGTGCTCTCTATCACTTGGCAACACTTCCACTCCCTCATGTTTGCCCTGAGTAGGACCTTATCTCCATTTCACTGATGGATAAATTGAGGCTCAGAGCCTATTAGATGATGTGGTCAGGCTCATAGGAATAGTAAGAAGCAAAGCTGAAGCTCTGTCACCCCCATGCCAGCCACAGTGAAATCTTTTTAGGCTACATTCTGACTCCAACGCTCAGCACATTATTATCCTGCCTTCCCTGTAGTGCTCCCAATGATGATGATGATGATGATGATGATGAGAAGTGAGGGCTGGCATTCCAGGGCTAACTAGGTGCCAGGCTCTGACCTAATTGCTTTACATGGCTATCTCAGTTAATCTTTACTACTTTGTGAAGTATGTGCAATTATTATCCCCATTTCACAGGTGGGAAAAGTGACACGAAGAGTAATTTTCCCAAGATCACACAGCGAGAAAATGGCAGAGCCAAGGTTTAAATCAGCTCCCCCAATCCAAAGCCATTTGAAATTGCTCTTGACCTTAGCAAACCTCTGTCTTTCCTTCATAATCAGAGGAAGGGATTTGGGGGATGGCACAGAAAAACACTTTTCTTACTGCAGAAAGCATCTCATTTTCATCTGTGAAAACAAGTTCAGAATTGTGGTCAAGACTTACCATTTTGTCAAATCCACGCTGGATAAGTGTTCATGTCAGCACATGGCCAAGAGCAGTTGATAGGAAAAAAGAACCATCCTACGCCAGATTTTCTTTAGCGCCCATCCCCTGCTGCCCCTTGCTGTTCCGGTTGAAGCCGATTCTTGCTTTGGCTCATGCCTCTGCTTATTTGCAGTCATATTTCCAAAGGATATATTTTTATTGGAGCAATAATTTCCATCATAAGTTAAATAATTTGGCAATTTGCCTTTTGCATTGCAGGAAAGAAGCCCTGTATTACTTAGATTTGACTGCTTCATGCCAGTCTCAGGAGCTTTTCCAGGTGAGTAACCCCTGGAGGTCCAGCCCCACATCCTTATACCTGTTAAGAAATGTATCATGCTAAGGCTTTTCAGGCACTGCTGACATTTTTGGGCCAGGTAATTTTTAGTTGTTGGGATTGTTCTGTGCATTGTAAGATGTGTGGCATCGTCCTTGGCTTCTTCCCACTAAATGCCAGTCCTGGTTCTCCAGTCGTGACAAACATAAATGTGTACAGACATGGTCAGATATCCTCCAGTGGTAGGGGGTAGGGTGGGCAAAATTACTCCTGTTTGAGAACCATAGGATACAAGTATGAAATTGGGAGCCATAAAGACTTGCATTCTGAGCACTGCTCTGGTTGTGTGAACTTGAAGCGTAGCTGACTCCTTGGACACTCAAGTGTGCAATGGAAATGACAGCAGTACCCACCTCATAGAGTTGTTGGAAGGATTAGCTGAGATCATGTGAGAAATACGCAATGGTGGAGATTGCTATGAGTTCCCTGAAACTTGTCCTTCGTATTCCTGGACACAAAGTCACTCTATACCTCCCAGCCTCCCTTGCAGCCAGGTGAGGTCATGTCTCTGGGTTCTAGCTAATGGTTCTAGCTAATGGAATATGAATGAAAATCATGTGAGCTAGGTCCATAAAAGCCTCCTATAGGTGAACCTCCATGATCTCTCCCTGCCTGCCAGCTATTGGCAAAGTCTCTGAGACTGCAGGGCATGTGAGATCCACAAGATGGAAGCAATCTGTGTCTCCGTTTAGCTGCATGGAGCATAACTGCACTCCCTTCCTTTCCCTGCTGACTAGGCATTTTGCGAGCATAAAATAAGCTTTTTAAATGTTAAACCCCTGAAATGTAAGAATTTATTTGTTACAGCAGCTAGCATGATCCTAACTGCTACTCTACAATGTATATAACTATCTATGGTACATAATACACATCAATAGATGTTAGATAATACTATTATTGCTAGTAACAGGTGAATCCCATCATGGTATTCTTACCTTAAAGATGATTGGAGATCAGCAAGAGGAAGAAATGGGAGTTGAACTGATTGACACATATTATGATGTGTTTTTAAACAAGTTGTGACATTTGATAGATGAGTCAGTATCAGCTTGTGTCAGACATTCAGGAGCAATCTTGTGAGCCCCACGAAGCATCTCAACAGCTAGCAGACTTGACTCCTCCCATAGCATAGATCTTGCCCACCTGTAAGTAGAATCTGTGATAATCTCCCTCTCTGGTAAGGGTAGTGTCTAAATCCAAGGAAAAAGTGTGGTTTAAGAGGACTCTGGGAAGGCCTTGGGTTCCAAAACTTCTTCTTATCAGTGCTAGTAATTCATATTTCTGTGGGGAACTGCATTTGAATAATGTGCATTGAACAAAGGCAGCGCTTAACCCAGTAGGAGTTTAGACTGATAAAATGATTATGGAGACAGACCCCAAGTCCCACAGGGAGGATTTAGTGGCTGTATTCTTTTTCTGTTCTCTGCCATAATCCTATGCCTTCCCTAATGTTGAAGATGCTTACAACATTTGAGCTTTGGAAAAACTGTAAACATTTCACATACTTTCCTTCTATGAATATTTGTTGCACACCAACTATGGTAGGCTGAAAAATAGCCCCTCAATGATGCCCAGGCCCTAATCCCTGGAACTTGTGAATATGTTACTTTTTATGGTAAAGGGGACTTTGCAGATGTGATTATGTTAAAGATCTGAGATGGGGAAATTACCCTAGATTACTTAGATGGGTTGAATGTAATCACAGAGTTTTTACAAAAGGGAAGTAGGAGGATCAGAGTTAGGTGTGACAATAGAAGCAAAAGGTTGGAATGATGTGAGTCAAGGATGCAGGTGGCCTCTAGAACTTGAAAAAGACAAGAAAACGTATTCTCCCCTCAAAGCCTCCAGCAGGGACCTAGCCCTGCCAACACCTTGACTTTAGCCTGATGAGAATTATTGTGGATTTCTGACTTGCAAAACTGTAAGATAATGCACTTGTTATAGAATAATAAACGAATACAGTTTGGATGTGGCTATGATATAGGCCAGGATTCTTCTAGTTGTGACAGAAAATCCAGCACAAACTAGCTCCTGGTATGCCATCACGGAGTTCAGATAGTGTCATCAAATCTCCCCTCCCCCTCATTATTCCTGCTTCGCAAATTCTAATTCTCTTTGTCCTGATTCTTTTTATTTTATGTTTTGCGGGTTTTTTTGTTGTTGCTTTTTAGAAATGGGTCTCACTATGTTGCCCAGATTAGTCTTGAACTTCTGGCCTCAAAGGATCCTCCCCTCTCAGCCTCCCAAGTAGCTGGGACTACAGGCTTCAGCCACTGCAACTGTCAGTTCCGACTTTCCCTGCCTCAGCCTTGTTCCCTCTTACCTCACAAAGAAAAGACGGCTGCCAGCAACTCTAGAAAAAAGTAAGTACAGTTCATTGAGTGGCAAAATGATTTCTTCATCCAGAATTTACAGGCCAAATGTTAGAAGTGTTCTGGTTGGCTGACTTGGGTCACATGTTTATCCCTGGCCCAATCACTGGGACAAAGGGAATCATGTAGTATGATTGGTTAATGGCTGTCCCCTGAGAACCATATGAAGTACAAGATGAGTAATTATTCAAATGAAGTTGTGGGCTTTCTTTCCAGAGGAATGAAGAAAAACATGCAGGATAGATCAACTTCTGATATGACCATCAAAGTCAGGAAAGGTTTTGCACAGTGATTATAACAAAAGTGTTAAATGAATGTCTAAAGAAGTCCACCATGATCACGCCTCCACCTCCTTGCCTATTTTTTTTCTTTTTCTTTCTTTCTTTCTATTTATTTATTTATTTATTTATTTATTTATTTATTTATTTATTGAGACAGAGTCTCACTCTGTCATCCAGGCTGGAGTGCAGTGGCACGAACTCAGCTCACTGCAGCCTCCGACTCCCAGGTTCAAGTGATTCTCCTGCCTCAGCCTCCCGAGTAGCTGGTATTACAGGCGCCTGCCATGAAGCCCAGCTAATTTTTGTATTTTTAGTAGAGACGGGGTTTCACCAGGTTGGCCAGGCTGGTCTCGAACTCCTGACCTCAGGTGATCCACCCGCCTCCGCCTTCCAAAGTGCTGGGATTACAGGCGTGAGCCACCGCGCCAGGGGCCTGTTTTTTTTCATTAAAGGAATGGCTGCATCCCAATTTCTGTCTCCACATCTAAAAAAAAATAAAAAAAAAAATAAAAAGTGATTGCTGAAAAGGTTAGAGCTATCTTGGCTCTCCATTTTGCCACTGATCCTATTATATTTTGGGCTAAGAACTTCCAAGAATCAACTCCTGGGCAAAGCTCTTAGGGCCCGCTTTGCAAAGACGAACTCGAATGCATGTAATTCATCATTGTAACTATTTAATTTTCTTATGGAGAATGTCAGACTTCCCTGAAGAAGCAGAGCTCCTGATTTCTGGCAGCATTTCATACCTAGAATTAGCTCTCAGCTCCTTTTGCCCTGGCCCCGATCTTTTCTGCACATTAATGTAGCTTATTGGGTTCCTGTGGAGTTGACCACAAGAGCCATCAGTGAATTTCTTTCCACTGTGGTGCGGGATTAGGATAATGCCAGTGAGAACCTACTGATTATCTAAAAATGACTCAAGGAGCGTGCGTCTGACTCTATTAATCTTTCCTAATTTGTGCCAGCCTGTTACGTTTGAATTCAAGGATTTTCTCCTTGCCTTGGTATTTAAATGCTCTCTGGTTAAGATCGCCCCCCAGCATGTGTGTTTGTGCTGGTGTGGATGTGTGTGTGTGGCGGGGCGCATGGGTAGTCTTCCAGCTACGTTAAGAAGCAGCACCCCTTGCTCCTGGCAGGAGCTTTGGAAGCATGTTGAAATGAAAACGGGATGGGAATATGGAGAAGGTGCTTCTGGGAGGCTCAAGGCTTCCTGATTAACGTGCTCTAGGTGCGTCTGGGCTGGGCTGTGGGAAAGGGTTGTCTCCCAGTGACAGTTATCCGGTGTTCCCCAGGTGTGGTCCACATAGTAGATCCATGGTGTGGGGTGAGCTAATTGGTGTCTTGCAATGGAAGGAGCTCGTAAGTGATAAAAGGTCTGCGGAACAGTCCACTAAACAAAAGGAAACATGTTTCTTCCCGCAGAACTTCTCAGAACCTTTATTTTTGCTCATCTACACTGTGGATCCGTAGGAAGAACAAACACGTAACATTTTCCTAACTTATTTGACAACAGACTAGTTCTGCATGACAACTTCATTCGCTCATTTACCAGATATTTATTTGGTGCTCACCACACACGAGGATCTCTGTCGGGCACAGGTTACACCATTTTGACATGAGCAGACTCAGCCCCACATATCCCAGGGCTGACATTTCAGGGAACCCTCTCAGGGAAATGTGGTCATAGCCCATTATATTTGCCTTGGAATAATAGGTTTCTGCCTTAATCTTCTTGTTCCGAAGAACTGATTTATGAACTGAAGTGACGCAGTTTGAAAGAGAGAATAGCAGATATTGTTTAGTGCCACAGAACATAACTATTAGAAAAAAGAGCCTTCTGTTCTATGGCTTTTTATATCTTGTGGGATATTATAAATGTATACTTGTTATAGTTAGGGGTTCAGATAGCTATACTTGCCTCTTTAGGTTTTAAGGTCCTTGAAAGTTGAAATTATGGCCTATTTTCTTTCCTTTTTTGTTTTCCCTTCTATGTTAGGAAGCCAAATCTAATCAGACAATGCTTGGATTTTATAACCAGATAAGGAAAGGGCAAGAGTGAGGTTGGCTTTAGGTACGCAGATCCTGCAAATCAAACACCCTGACGTTACTGTAGCCTCATCTCTGTCTCTGTCTCTCATGCACACTTTCACATGTGCACGTACACATATACATACACACATGTACACACACATACTCTTCCTCCTCTCTTCCTGTGTCACTTCCTTTGCTCCCCCTGCAGTTATTCTCCTCCACCTGCCGGGGGATTTGGCCTTGTGATAGCCATGAGGTCACAGTCCCATGTCTACTTGACCACAGCATGAAGAGAAATTTGATCATGGTCTCCAGAGAGAAAGTCTCAGAGCAGGGCTCTGACCATGCTGTGCTCATGTCCATCCCAGGCCATCCCTGTGAGCACAGGAGGGGATTCACTGCAATAACCCACTACCCAAGATCATGGCCCTGGTACCTACTCTGTTACCAGAAGGGGGATACACAGTGGGTGATCAAAACAACATCCCCTTGAGTTCCACAAGTCTCAGGAGCATTGAGGAGATTGCAGGCACTCAGTAAATAGCTGCTGGATAAATGAAACAATGAGATGTAGAAAATAAATGGTACCTGGATGTGGGATTATTTGTAATTCAATAATGTGTTCTCCCATTCTATTACAGTCTTGGAACATAGTAAACGTTCAGCAAAAATTTGTATAATGAGAGAGAAGGTCTCTGTTTTGGCTTAACATTATATTCAGTTTTGTTGCATTTGTCTTATTTTCTTTGGAAGCCTCTGATCTTAAGATCTTTATAAAAGTGCATTTTCAGAATTTTTTGGGTAAATTTTGGGGGGCTTCTGCTTATTCTGCCCCAGTAAGATTTCCTCTTTTTATCGCTTAGTGCTGAAAGTGCATTCTATTTCTCATTAACCTCCCTGCCTTCTGGGTATTTGGTTCCTCCCTTCTTGTCCTTATAAAGATAGCCGACCTTCACTTTATCACTCCCTTTAATGAGGTTCCACAACGAGATACAGGTCTGTATGCACTCTCCTAATTGCAGCCCAAGAAACTTCATGTCATTTTATAGGCTGATGCAATACACAGGTAGGGAGGGCCAAGTGGTGGCTGAATAGTGACCTTGGGCTGGAGAATTAAAGCTGAGGGTCTGTGGACTCCTCCCATCTCTCCTTGTATTTCTTCTGAAATACAACTCCATAGGATCTCAATTCTAATCGCTGTCTTATCAGGAAAGATGGAAATGAACACCTGTGTGTAGGGAGCTGCCTAAACATATGGCCTATGTCTCTAGCATGAGAGCCTTTTTGCCTTTTTGTTTTGTTTTGTTTTGTTTCTAAACTGCAGAGAGGATTAGGTAAGGTTGGAGCAGAGAGCAAAAATTTAGTAGGTTAATCCTTATAATAGGTTAATATTTTTTGCACATTCATGACATGCCAGAGATTATATTAGTTCCTTTAGAGTTAAGAGTTCATTCAATCCTCAAATCAGTCATTTGAGTATTGTTTCTATTTTACAGTGAAAGAAATTGAGCTTCAGAGATTGGGAAAAATGCACAGCCCCTCTGTTCTCAGACATCAGACGCATACGTCTTCAACAAGCACCCCAGAAAATTCTCATGCTCTCCCAAGTTTGTGCAAGGTAGTAGTCAAGTTCTGCCATCAGCATTTTGAGATGCATACAGTAGTACGCATTTGGAGGCAGCTGTGACTTGGGGAAATAGGGGCTGGATTTAAAAGTCACTGTGTGCAATATGACTCATTTCTTTCCACAAGACTCAGTTTCTTCATCTGCAAAATGAGCATCAGGCATCCACTTATCTCATAGATATGATAATGGGTGAAATTCAGTTTGTGAATTGAAGAACAGCTCTGTGCAGAAGTTTGTATTGAGCGTCAGCATAGAGGAGGATCTTGAATGGAATTTGTAGAGATGTTAGAACTGCCCTGGGAGACTGTGTGTAGGGATTAATCTCATGATCTATGTGTTCGCTTGCCCTTCAGCTCTCTAGGGTAGAAGAAATCCCAAGGGCAGGTGGTGGTGTGTCAGTAAGTGTTAATGCAATCTTAGTGGCTGTTTCCAACTGGCAAACTTTATGCATCCAGCCATCCCCACCATGGTTATCTGTAGACTATCTGCTCTCCTCACCTGTCTTGGATATTCTTCTTTTTCCTTGCACACTGCTAACCCATCTCCCTTACCATCCTGAAGCAGAAGTGTAGATCTCCGAAGGGCAGAGCTAGAAGAGGCTCTTAAAATAACCTAGAACTAAAAGTTCCTAATTTTCCCAGCATTTCTCAAAGCCTGGGGCACAAACCACTGGTGGCACTTGCAATTTGTTTCGGTGCTAAAAAACAAATACTCCATTTTTCATTTTACTGATGATGTAGTTGTTTGAAGACATGTTAGAAAAGTACTTTAGTTCTTTATTTATAGTAAGGATATCAAATTTCCTTTTAAATAAGTTTGTTAAAAAACAATCAGTACAGAAGTTACATGCAAACATTGTGATGGAGATTGTATGCCATTGCGATGTATAATACAGCTTAATTCTCTCTCTCTCTCTCTTTTTTTTTTTTTCACAAAGGAAGTAGTTGGGGCCCAAAGAGGGAAGTGATTCATCCAGAGATGCGCAGACCATGTGCAGAGCTAGGGCTAATATTGGGTCCGGGGCTTCTCTTCCAGGGCTGTGCTCATCAGCTCAGTGAATGTCAACTCTGGACCTTTAGTCAAATGTGTTAGGTAAGTAACTGAGCTCCTAAAATGTCCTCTCTAAAGTCAGCTAAAACACATTTTGGAGTACTATTCCTCCATCTTTTTCATTGGATTATGTGTTTGTTTGTTGGTGATCCTTAGTGAGACAAAAACCAATGACAGCACCATCTGGAATTCTGCAACGGTAGTGCTAGGGATGGAGAGGCAGGCAGTGGATTTGCCCATTGAGGCTGATCTCTCCGCTGAGTAAGGACTTAGGATGCTGGCCAGTGCCAGCACACCCCTGTGTATATGAGCCAAAGGCTGCTGCATCTCAGGGCCCTCTGTATGGCTGGGATATGTGTGTGGGCAGCCGAGTAGGTAGGCTCTGTCCCTGGGCCCTCTCTGAGTTTACAGAATTTATAAATCAGAGTTCCACGTAAAATTCCACTTTAATAAGAAATAAGGGAGAGGAGGTGTTTCATAGCAAAACCTGGAAAGTTGCTGTATGGTGGAAAGGGCACTTTGGAGAAAGACAGGTCTGACTATAAATCCTAGCTTTGCCATACACCAGTGGGGCTACTTGGGGTGAGTTAACTTCCTTTTGTGAATCTGAGTTTCCTCAACATGAGAAACCCCCTGTTTCTCAGAGTCTATTGTGAATATTAAATAAAATAACATATAGGAAACGACGCAGCATAGTTCTTGGCATGTAGTAGACACTAGGTAATTAGGAATTTTTATTCTTCATCATCATCATTATTATCATGTCGCCCCTCTTTTATTTATTTATTTATTTATTTTTTAATTATACTTTAAGTTTTAGGGTACATGTGCACATTGTGCAGGTTAGTTACATATGTATACATGTGCCATGCTGGTGCGCTGCACCCACTAACTCATCATCTAGCATTAGGTATATCTCCCAATGCTATCCCTCCCCCCTCCCACCTCCCCACCACAGTCCCCAGAGTGTGATATTCCCCTTCCTGTGTCCATGTGATCTCATTGTTCAATTCCCACCTATGAGTGAGAATATGCGGTGTTTGGTTTTTTGTTCTTGCAATAGTTTACTGAGAATGATGGTTTCCAATTTCATCCATGTCCCTACAAAGGACATGAACTCATCATTTTTTATGGCTGCATAGTATTCCATGGTGTATATGTGCCACATTTTCTTAATCCAGTCTATCATTGTTGGACATTTGGGTTGGTTCCAAGTCTTTGCTATTGTGAATAATGCCACAATAAACATACGTGTGCATGTGTCTTTATAGCAGCATGATTTATAGTCATTTGGGTATATACCCAGTAATGGGATGGCTGGGTCAAATGGTATTTCTAGTTCTAGATCCCTGAGGAATCGCCACACTGACTTCCACAATGGTTGAACTAGTTTACAGTCCCACCAACAGTGTAAAAGTGTTCCTATTTCTCCACATCCTCTCCAGCACCTGTTGTTTCCTGACTTTTTAATGATTGCCATTCTAATTAAGAGGGTGCAAAGCTCTAAGCTAGAATATCACACTCAATGAGGAATTTCCAAGTATCCATGAACAGGTGGTGTGTGTTATGGGTGGTGGTGCTGGTGAAGGTGGGGTTCAGTTCCTTATATGCAAAAATGATGTCACTTCTTTGTGAGTACATGGCCAATTTTTCTTTGGGACTACCATCATCAATCATCCCACACCTAAGCACAAAATTCAGAAATCTACTTTTGGCTGAAAAAATCAAGACCTCTAACATAAACGAAGCCAGAAACAGAGCCTTGGGTGCACACCCAGGCAGCGGCCTGGGGCATGTGTATTAACACAGGGTATAGACACAGTTTCTATGGTGGTGATTCTAGGAACCAATTCACCAGAATGTACTTCCTTCCCATTGCCTCTGCTCTAGGGAAGGGAAAATAAATTTACTCATTCTACTTATGGTTCTAGGAGATTATTCATGAGGCCTATTTTCTTTTTCCAAACGAGTTCTTGCAGGAGTCGGTACCCTGAGCCTGCAGTGCTGAGGGAGCACTCTCATGGTAATGGATTATCTGAAGCAACCCCACCTTCACCCTCCCCACTCCATCTTCCCATTCTTCAGTAGAAACACTCCATTCTGGCCCAATTAGAAACACACAATGACTCATGCTCATGAAGTGTGTTTTGAACTTTAAGTTGCCTCTTCATATTTTTAAATCATTGCATTTAAGTCTAATTCAATAAGATTCTGTATCTCCTTTCAATTTAATCTGTGAGCTGCTTCCGCCTACCTGTTGCTAGGACAACCAGCACCCGCACTGGCTTTCCCTTGTTGTCCAGGCGGAGGCTGTGTTAATTAACTCCCTGAAATTGCAGGCCAGGTAATCAATACCAAATGTATGGACTTGGCTGGAATGTTTTAATTAAATTTACAGTAATTTTATTTGCAGCTTCTTCTGCAATCTGCATAGTGGGCAATTGATTTTTATTTCAGATACAATGGCCAGCTCACTAGCTAGGTCATTCCTTCTCTTAAGTGCTTTCTTTTCCATTAACTGAACCAGTGTTAAATGAGGAATAACCGAGACGAACTGTTAAAATAATAGTAAAAAAAGAAACGAAACTTAAAATATCAGAGGGATTGAGCTTCTGACAATTAAGCCACCCTCTGGCTGGACGTGTTTTGCATGAAATAATTCCAGAAGCCAGGGATCAGTAGGCTCCCATGGAAAATATCCAGTGATGATGGGTAGGAAATGCAAAACCCAGTGCCACAGCCTCCTCTGTGTTGCTTAAAATAAAAGATGCAAATAACCAACCTCCACCACCAGTATTCTTGGTAAAGATGTGTCCTTGAAGAACTGGGTTGTACTCCACTCAGGAAAACCGCTCCCTCCTTCCTTCTTTAAGCAGAGTGGTTAAATGTTTGGGCTCCCAAGGGAGGTAAACCTGGGGTCCCCATTCTAGCAATGTCACTGACTCAAGTTTATCAACTTCTCTTTATATCTAAAGGAGAGGTTATAAATCCCATCACAGCTTTGTTATGGGATTAAATAAAATCACACACATGATGAGGTGGATTAACCCACGATGTTGAAAGCATGGACTCTGGAGTCCCACAGTCTGGGTTTGTGTTTTCACTTGCTGCTTGGATGACCTTAGGCAAAATACTGAATCTCTCAAGGCCTCAAGCTTCTCGCCTGTAAAATATGCATACTGCCACTCTTCTCAAAGTCATGCTGGGAAACCTCTTGAAATAATGCACCTAAAGCATTGGGCCTCAGTGCCTGACACACACTTTTTCTGGGGTTTTCTTGAGTTTGAAGTTAGGAGAATTCTTTAGTCCTGGATAGCTCTAACAGTTTCAGCTAAGTAGCTGAGGGTGTAAGAACCAAACCATTTTCAATTGCTTTGGGTGACTAAAACTTATTGAAAGATCTGTGAAGACCCTGGGTGGAACTAGAATCTGTCCCAACAGCCACAGTAACACTCTAGACTCTGTCTCTCCTCTCTTATGGGAGCCTGTCCTCTCTTGGGTGTCTCTCCTCTCTCATGGGTGCCTATAGAAGCACCCCCCACTCAAAAAAAAGAGTCTTCATCTTCTTTAAGGGTAGGAACATGAGCTGAATTCCCTGCCATTTTCTATGTTTGCCTGACATTCCCACTTTCCCCAGTGAGAATTATCTTGGGTCGTCTTCTTCCTCTCAGTAATGGGGAGCTTCTACTGGACAAATTCCCTTTCAACTGCATCAGAATCTGCTGAGTTTCCTTATGCACTTCCCTTTGGCGATGACCTTGTTCTAATCCCTTATGGCAGGAGCAGGGACAGAAGCTACTTCTGATGGCTTCACCCAGGAAAACAGCTCAACATAACTAAAACATAGCCTTGGCAGGGTGCCCAGATCCAACAGTGGCACTAAAGCTTCTATGCCTTCAGTAGATGCAACTTTTATTTGCAGATAAATTCTATTATTTGAAATACCCAGTAGGAGCTCACTCGATATCATTGAATGAAGAAGAAAAGGAACAATTTAGGAAGACAATCATGATTCCATATGGTTCCCTTAAGATGGTGGAAAGGCAACCAACCACTGCCTCTGCTAGAAAGACTTTCAAGACTCTTTTTCTGAGAAGGGTGATGTGTTTAACTAAAGGCACTGTTGGCCACAAGAGCTTGCAATGGCCATTAGGGAATGAGTGAAATTTTCTTATGGTGAACACCTGCATGAAAATCCTTCCTCTCTGCCCACGTCTTATGTCCCAAATAAACAGAAACTTGGTGAGAATATATTAATTTCCCTTCAAAGACAACAGTAGAATATTGCATTGGAAGAGCTTCAGCTAATAGAAAAAAAAATGTGTCCCATGGTGAAAATATAGTCGTCATGCTGGAATCTGAGGATATTTCCCTTGACAATAAAATTAATCTCTTTTATTTTCATTGCATAAGATTATATCCTGATGGGAGACACTGTGTCTATGGAGGTATTTTTGCTAATTTATCTGAGTCCAGTTAAAGAACTGACCCTAGTTCATTTTAACTAGGTAAAAGCTGACCCTTGACAACTGGCTTATTCTCTAGTTAGGTTTTCCTTATAAACACCTCTTTCTCACTCACTCTTTCTTCACATTCATCATGAAATTAGACCCAGACAAGCACATTAGGCAGAAACTGAAGTCTATGAAGGAGCAGTTAGGATTGAATGATGTGGGACCCATTTGCCTGACCTTTTCTGTAGAGATGAAGGCCTGCAAAGAAGCAGGGGAGCTCTGCCCCCTCCAGGTAGCCCATAGTAGAATTTTAGGGTTGGAATTCTTTGTTCCCCTTTCCTCCATTTCAAAAGACCTGGATCAGGACTTGGTGAATTTCTGGAATCTTGAGGAGCTCATAATGGGCTTTAAAACAACATTAACAAAGCTGAAAGCAAAACAACAACAAAATGGGACTTCTTGGTTCTTGATCTTGTTATTGCCTGTGAGCCAATTTCCTTTTCATTCACAGATATTATTTTATGTTATAATTATGAGCTTACATTTCTCCTCTAACATTTCTTCTTCTTTTTCCAACTGCCAAAGCACAAGAGTTGTATGCATTTGCCAAGTTTCCGCCCTATCCTTAAGTCTAGGTTGAGTTTGACCGTTGACATTCTAGCTATGATTCCTCAAAGGCAATACTGATTTGGAAGAGTTTGCTATGGGCTCAGTGTTCTTTATCTTCACAAATTAGAGCAAAATTGATGTAGAGATAATAAAATGACACGGTAAACACATATATAGTACATGCTATGTATACGGCACCATTCTTAGTCTTTATGTATAAAATCTCATTTAATTCTCATAGCAGCCCTTTGAGGAAAATACTATTATCATCCCATTTTTATCCCAAATTTAAGAAACTTGCCCCGAACACATGGTTGGTAAGAGGAAGAGCCCAGATTCAAACTCAGGCAGTCTGGTTTTAGAATCTGGACCTGTTTTATCCCCATGATTCCTGACTTTTGAACTATCATGTGGTTCTTCTTCCAATGGGATTTATCTTTCTAATTTCACTTAAGTTGTTCATCCATTCATTAACTTGTTCATTTCATTATTTACACACTCAAAAATATTTACTTGTTAACTAGTATGTTCTGACTCTGTACTGGACTGCAATGATGACCAGAGTGGCCACAGGCCTTGCCCTCAAGGAGCATAGAGTCTAGCAGGGGAGCCAGATGAACAAGTAATTTTATGATTAACTGGTTGTTTTTAATTTCTACTTGCATTTAGTACCATTGCATTTACTTACTGCTTTGAAATAAAAGGATGTGAACAGATGCACAGAGAATGTATGAAAGAGGGGAAAGAACTGGGTAGGGAGGAAAAAAATATAGAAGAACAGAGAATTTTGGAATTATTTGTTTCTTGAAAGTGGGGTGGAGGTTCTAGCTCAAGGGTCTAATCTGTCATGGAGCAAAATATCTGGACTGACCCTCTAGTCTGGCTAAAGACAACCAGTCCCTTATCTTCAGCCTAAGTTGGGGAATGTTCTGAAGGTGACACAGCAGGTCCCTTTGTGTCTTTGGTTTGTGGGTGGTATCTTTCCAGCTCAGGGAGCAGGTAGAAGAGGCAGCTTCCAAATCCAGAAGAAGTCACAGCAAGTTCACTGTATCAAGGCTTCATTTTCTTTTCTTCTCAGAAGAGTGAGCATCTGAGGGATGTGTGTTACTTTGTCAGTTGTGGTGTTTGATAAAGAAAAGGTCTTGGTTTTATGATCCAGGGACCCTGCAAGCAGTAGGACATGCAGCCCTTGTCAGGGCCTTTTCTGTGTGCAGTGTTACCAGTAGGTGACTGGGGAAATCTTTCTCTTACCCGGTCAGATCTGGGACCCCATGGAAGATGAAAAGGGGCAACCCAGAATCACTCAGTCTCAGGAATGGCGGGATCCTCTTAGGGGGCAACCCAACCATGGACTTCCAAATCTGACTGCTTATCCAAAGCACTTGAAAGCATATATATGCTCTGTATTAGTCAGGGTTCTCCAGAGAAACAGAACAAACAGGATATCTGTAACTATATCTACACATCCAGATATACAGATAGGTAGTTATAAGAAGAGATTTTTATTATGGCAATTGGCTCACGTAATTATGAAGGCCAAGAAGCTAGAGATCCAAGAAAGCTGGTGGTGTAATTCAGTCTGAGTCCAAAGGCCTGACAACCAGGAGCTCCAATATCCAAGGGCAAGTGAAGATGGATGTTCCAGCTTAAAGAGAAAGAGAGATAGAATTCTCCCTTCTTTTTGTTCTATCCTAGCTTTCAATGGATTGAATGGTGCCCATCCACATAGGGCGTGGGTGGATCTTCTTTACTTAGGCTACTGACTCAAATGCCAATCTCTTCCAGACACACCCTACAGACACACCTGGAAATAATGTTTTATCCACTGTCTGAGCATTTCATATATATATACATATATGTGTATAAATATCTTGAAATCCAACAATTTGGATTTAGGAGGCTTATGTAGGATGGGGACAGGAATTTACAATCTGATAATTCAGAATAATGCTTCTCCTCTGGAGAATGTTGTTAAACTATAGGCTCTGCTTCCCCCAGATCTGGGGTGGGGCCCTAGAGTCTGCATCTCTAATAAGGTACAGGTGATGCTCTTAATACAGGGATCACTCTTCTAGTTTAAAGGAATTAAAACGACCTTCTAACCAGTGAGGTTGCTTTTCAATCTAGGTTTGAATTCTTCTAGATATATAGAGCTCTCAGTCATGTAATGTATTTTCTATCATTTGAGATAGTTTTTAATTATTAGCAAGATCTTTCTTTTATTGAGCCAAGATCTCTATGTTGATAATTTCTGGAAGGCACTGTTGTGAAGTGGTTAAGAGTGAGCTCTGGAGACAGGTGACCTGGTTTGGATCTCGGCTATGACTTTTGTTAGCTTTGTGACTTTAAGCAAATACATGGCCTTCCTATGTCTATAAGTTAGGGCAATAATAGTGCCTATCTCATAGGATTACTGTGAGTTCTTAACAGCATTAATCCATGCTCTAATCCAATAAGATTAGAACAGTGTTTGACACCGAATAAACACTTAAAAGCATTTTGTTATTGGTTCAGTGGTAGAGTCATTTTGACATCATTTCTGTTTCATTTCCCAGTCTGAGGCACTAATAGACCATGTAGCAACTCATAAAACATCTCGAAGGCGGAAGTAAGAATTTACTCTTTCAAGCACCCTACCAACTTTTGCAAATTTCACACCCCTGGTGGTTGTGTGTTGATACACATCTGTGCAATCTGATCGGCCTAATTTTACTTTGTATAGACAGAAATTAATAAAGCTCTCAGAATGTGGAAAAGGGCTCTTCTAGGAGCACAACAATTTGACTGCCTGTAGTTGTGGTTTTCTCTTAAACATGGGGGTTTCTGTCCCCATTCCAGAACCCGGGGAGAAGAAAGAGTTGTTTCCCTCTTCTTATGAAACAAACAAGCAAGCAACTAAATATTTTTGCATACAAACATATAGCAAAAGTACTATAACAATGATTCATGTAACTACCTTCCAGCTTAAGTGATAGAATATTAGTAGTTCTTGAAAGCTCCTTGTATGTCCTGATCCAATTATATTCCCTTTTTTTCAGAGGTGACCATTATTCAGAATTTAGTGCTTATCATTTTCACATGTTTGGGTTATTCTTTAACTGTAAATGTATATACTCCTAAACAATGTAAAGTATTATTTGGTACGTTTAAAAATTTTAACCATATATCCTTCTGCAATTTACTTTTCTCTCCTCTCTACATTATACTTGTGAAATTCATTCATGCAGCTATCTGTGGCTCCATTATTCATTTTCACTGCTATAGAGTGTTTTATTGTATGGATATAACCCAGTTTATTTCTCATTCTCCTGCTTGACATATTCTTAACGTCTTTGGGGTGGTGAATGGCTGTTTCCTCATCTTGCATTCTTTCTCGATCTATCATTTATAGCATTAATTTTGTAGTGGGGTCTTTCAGCCTTGGTTCTGGATTTCAAAGACATTTTGTCTTCTAGCTTATGTAGTTGAAAAGTGATGGTTTTCGATATTTGTTTTTTATCTTTTTGTTTCTCTTTCTTTTTGCCTCTACTTTACATTTAAAACATATGTTAAAATGTTCAGTTTACTTCTTTGTTTCAGGCTGTGTAAGCCTCCTTCTGCCTCCACCAAGCAGCTATTTCTGTTATAAATGGAATCAGAAGAGTCATGGGTATAAAGAAGTGGGGGAAAGGAATTGGGTTGGGGGGAAAGTCTTAGTCAATATCTTAAAATACTATCTGCCATACTGACAAGGATAGTTAAACAAATCAACACTGATGACTACATGGTATAATTAGCATTTACCATGCTAATGTCCTGCCTCTCAAATTTTATTACATATGCTTATCATCCAGGGATCTTGTTAACATGTAGATTGCGTTACTATACATCTGAGGTATGAGCTGAGATTCCACATTTTTAGCAGGTTCCTGGCTGATGCACATGCTGCTGGTCCTGGACACATTTTGAGCAGCAAGTGTGCATGGGCAGAGTGCACATTGGCTCAGACTTGCCTTTGAATCTTAGCTTCATTGTTTCCATTATTCTCGGGGAACCTTAGGAAAATTAGCTTCCAGGGCAGTGGCTCCAATCCTGGGCTGCACCTGGGATACTTTTAAAGATCTGATACCCTAGTTGCACCCCAGATTAATTAAATCAGAATATCTAGAAGTAGGATCAAATTATTAGTAGTTTTAATCGCTATCTAGGAGATTTCAATGTGTATCCAAGATTCTGAGAACCTTTGTCTCAGCACAGCTGTTCTCAAACTTTAGCATCCATTAGAATTGCCTAAAAGACTTGTTAAAGCACAAATTGCTAGGTCACAGCACCAGAGTTTGTGATTCAATAGGTCTGGTGTTGGGCCTGAAAATTAAAGTTTTTAACAAGTTTGCAGGTGTTAATGTTGCTGGTCCAGGGACCTCACTTTGAGAACCATTGTTCACAGGACTTGAGTTCTTATCATGAAAGTGGGTGTAAGTATTATACATCTTTCATGTCCCATTGGAGGATCAATGAAATAAAATACTTAGAATGATGTTCAGCACATGGTAGACAATCAAGAAATGGTGGTTTGTTTCTATTATTGCTAATACTAGTGTTATGTCTTTGCTGAAGTTAATGGGTTAGCTAATCTTAAATGGTTTACCCATAATTTTGGCCAGGCTATTTTCACCTAACACCTTTGTTTCTAAATTTCTTACTTGAAGAATCACTTTCAAGGGTGGCTAAAGTGGTACCATCTGCCCTCAGGAGGTTTTAACTTGTAGTCTGGACACAACAATCTACTTGTGACTAGCCTTGTTTGAGTTTCCCAGCCCACCTGTATACACACCCAGTGGTTACACTAGTGCCTGCTTGTACACCATCTACCTGGTCATGTCTGATAAACTCGTCACTTTGGAAAAAAGAATGCTGCAGGCTGTGCTTTCTTTGTGGCAGCACTGTAGTAGCCCCCAGGACTTCAGGGTGTGCAAGCTACAGATGGGCTGCTAGATGAGAAGGGGAGGAGGTTGGTGGATCCCCTCCTGAGGCTTGATGCTCTGTTATAAACACTTTTCCTTCACTGCAACCCTGGTATATGCAGTAACTTCACTGTGATTTTTCTGCTCTTGAATATTGTGTTTCCACGCAGCTCCTTCCCAAGAAGAATGGTTCCCAGGTGGTATTCTCTGGCCTGAAGGCTGCTACTTCATTATCGTCTTTGTTAACCTGAGAATACCGCCCTTTGGGTTCCGCAAAGGAACACATCATTATCGCTAAATTCACTGTGTCAAAAATGACTCCTCGCTGGGCTTTGGAGCTTCGTTGGTGAAGTGCAGCTATTGATCTTCCAGTGTTGTGAATAATGCAGACAATACGGTTTCTGGGTGCCTTCTCTGAAAACTGCCCAGATTTTGGACTTGAGCTTGATGCAAACTGCATTATAAACATGCCAAACTTGTGCTGACAGCACTGAAAGCACTTTGGGATAAACATTTGTGTTTGCTAAAAATGTCTCTAAAGAATTGGAAGTATTTCATCAAAAGATTTATCTGTGCATTTCTGGGGGTGTTTAAAAGCTTTCCATGACCCAAAAGCAGTGGTTACCGAGTGACTCATTCATCAGCTTCTGGTACATTTCTAGCCTCAAGATTCAAAAAGGAAAATTGAAATTAAAAGATTAATTCTTATTAAAATTGACATGTGTCCTTTCTGAGGGATAGAGGAGTTTAATTGACAGGATGCTTGCTGTAGATGGGAGTTTTTGGCTTAGATGTGACTATTTTCCTACCTCTTTAGGTTTCTCAGCAAATCTAGGTTTGAGGATCAGATGTGTTGCTTAAGAAAAGATTGCAATTATCACTAAGCAATTGCTGGGTTAATTAGTCCTGTCAATAATTCAGAGGGTGATTGGAGCAACACTGAGACAGGTTTAGATCCAAGGCCTGTTGCTGTTTTGTGAAACAATCTGAAATAAATCTCTCTTAGATCAATAACTCTGGCTTGGGTAGTGTTCCTCTTTTGGAGCTGAGTTTAGGCAGCTGGACCTAGTAAAAGCTATGTGTTTATTAGAATTCACCGGCCATAGGACATTAAATTCTTCACCAATCTAGAGTAGAACCTAAGCTAGAAGAAGGAGACATCCATTAAGGAGAGATTAATGTTGCATGTCTATTTGAAAAGTCAGTATGTATCTATGTGATGGTAACCAATGTTGTGGGCACATTTTATAAATGGTCTTTTAATGGAGATGATATAGTGCTGAATAGAACATATACATCAGTAGTGATTTTTTGATATGTATGAAGAAGATGCTCTTGTCCACTAATAGTAATAGGAACAATAACCATGATAATATTAATAGTGATTCTTAGGTATTGTGTACCTCCTATGTGCTAAGTATTTTGCCTATGTTATCTCTAATCTCAGAATGACTCATAAAGGTAGGGTTCTTTTTTAACAATTTAATTATATTCTTTAAGTTACTTAAAAATATACAATGAAGTGGTTATTGACTATAGTTGCTCTATTGTGCTATTAAATAGCAGGTCTTATTCATTCTTTCCAATTTTTTGTACCCGTTAACCATCCCTACTTTCCCTCCAGACCCCTCACTACCTTTCCCAGCCTCTAGTACCATCAATCTACTTCCTATGCTCATGAGTTCAATTGATTTGATTTTTAGATCCCACACATATGTGAGAACATGCAATGTTTGTCTTTCTGTGCCTGGCTTATTTCACTTAACATAATAATCTCCAGTTCTATCCATGTTGTTGCAAATGACTGGATCTCATTCTTTTTTTGTGGCTGAATAGTACTCCATTGAGTGTACATACCACATTTTCTTTATTCATCTGTTGATTGAAGTAGGGATTATTAACTCCATTTTATGGATGAGGAAACTGAGACACAAATAAGTTTTAATGAATTGTACAAGGTTCCTTAGCTGATAAGCTGCAGAGCTGGGAATTTAACTCAAGACCATGTGGTTCAAAACACCTCTCACTTAGGAGGCAAATAGTTCAAGGGGAAAATGATCCCAGGAAGTGTTTGAAATGTCAGAGGTGATAATCCAGTTCCAACAGGCGCTGTGGTGTACATCTGATTTAGGGCTCTAACTTTGTCCAATGGGTAGGACTCATCAGTAGTATTTTCTACACATGTAGAAAAAAGTCTGGAAGATAGGTTTTCTTATTCCTCTTTTGCATATGTGGAAATTGAAGTTCAGAAACAGAAAATATTGCCCAAAATCGTATGGCTGAACAATCAGAACAGAGATTTTAATTCTAGTTTGTTTTATATGAAGGGTAGAAAAATCCTTCCTAAATTTTTCATCATGTATGCCTCATATTTGAATACTATAACTAGATTCTATTATATAAGAATATGTTGAAATGCTTACACTCACTTTTGGTGTATTTTGTGTCTATCTATCTATCTCTATCATCTATCTATCATTTTAGCATATAAATATAAATATAGAGAAAAATGTTTTTTACATTTTAACAAACATTTGTCGGATCAAGTTGAAGTCTCCTATACCCACTTCTACTATTTCATTCTCCTTTCTTTCCTCCATAGAGGTAAACATTATGATGAAATTTTATATGTATAGTCTATTTTTCTACTTGTACTACACTTATTACATACATAACATATTTGTGAAAACACATATAATTTTATTTCTTTCTAAACGTATAAAAATGGAACCATACAGCATGTATTATTCTGTGGCTTGCTTTTATCTTTTAAGATGAATAGATCTGATATTAGACCATCCTTGAATTCTAGCATAATGCATTATGTTCAAGTAGGATTATTATTTAAAAAACTAACTGTGCAATTCATTTTGTTAGCATCTTATTGGGAGTTTAAATTAAGATTGGTTTATAATTTACTTTCTCTGATGGACTTTGCTTGCTCATGCATTATGGTGTTACTGGATTATAAAAGTGAATTAGGGGAATTTTACCTCTGAAATGAAAACACTATGAGCTCTGTGAAACTGCTTCCCAGCAAAACAAGTATAAACTGACTTTATTTTTTAAAAAAGGAACATTTTAAAGTCTGAAAATTTTTCTAGGTGCATATAGCAAATAAAAAACATTTATTCAGGAATACCTAGTAAAATTCAGTCAGAATAGTGAGAATCTGTGGCATTTGAACCATGACCCAGTTCCTCCCTTCCCTTTCAGCTCAGCATGATCAAAACTTCACTAAAGCCAGGTGCATTCAAGAACACAGGACTCCCTATTCCCAGAGCTTCAAGTTGAAAGGTAGGTTTTCCCGGGAGGAGCAGATCTCTGGCATTTCTTATCCTCCCCAGCTATACGCTGCAGCAGCTAACTTTCAGGTGAGTGCAGCAGAGGCTTGAGAGCTTCTTTATTCCACCAAGCCCCGACTCACAGGGCGGAGGCTCTATGTCAGGCATGGTATGCTGAGAATACCGGGTCGCCATCACTGTGACTCCACTCATTCATAGGTTGGAGGCTCCACACCAGCAAAGTCAAGCCAAGACGACCCTAGGCTACAGGCCTCACTCAGTGTCCTGATCTGAAAGCAGAGCTGTTATTCAGAGAGAAGCAGGCCACTAACCTTGCTCCTAACTCTGGAGTTAGTGGCTCAGAGATTTTACCCAGGGAGAGAGGCAGAACTTAAGAGCTTCAAAGCCTCCCCAGTGGAACAGACTTTGAAATGGAGTTGGGGAGAAGTTCAAGCCTAAATGTGTTGCTCTCAAAATCTACAGAGGTTGGGAGGTGAACACAACAAGCTAAATACTAGGCCAGTTACTTTACCAGAGAATTAAAGAAAGAGACAGTTAAGGAGACTTTCTTTGGATCAATTTCAAACTTCAAACACTGGTCTCAAAAACTACCCATGCTAAGGGACCCATATTTAATTGTGGATTCAATTATGCCCTAGAACAATTTATGCCCCAGGGCATTGTTGAAAATAGTAGAACAATAATCTGGCCATTAGTTCTGGGTATGATCATGAAGCCTAACTTCTGAATATGATCACAGAGAAAGATAGTAAAAAAGAACCTTTCCCAAACCATTGTCATTCCCAGGTGACTGTGGACATACTCAAAGCTGTGCTCCCTGAGGAACAACTTCAGAGCCTGTACACTACAGGGGTGATGGTGAGGAATGGACTTCACTAAAATAGTTGAGTCATTCACTAGCAAAATGAACAAGCAAACAACAAAAACAATCCCCAAAAGTGGGGCACCAGTACCCAGAATTGCAAAAAAATATATATCTAAAATGTCCCATTTTCAAAACATATTATGAGACATGCAAAGAAATAGAAAAATATGATGCATAAACTAGGAAAAAAGCAGTGAACAGAAACTGTCAGTAAAAGGAACCCGATGTCAAATTTAACAGAAACACCTCAAAGTAGCCATGCTAAATATAGTCAAAGAACTAAAGGAAACCATGGTTAAAGAAATAAGAAAGTATAGAGGGCATTCCAAGATTGCTGAATAGGAACAGCTCTGGTCTGCAGCTCCCAGCGGGATCGACACAGAAGACAGGTGATTTCTGCATTTCCAACTGAGGTACCTGGTTCATCTCATTGGGACTGGTTGGACAGTGGATGCAGCCCACGGAGTGTGAGCCAAAGCAGGGCAGGGCATCACCTCACCCAGGAAGTGCAAGGGTTCAGGGGAATTCCCTTTCCTAGCCAAGGGAAGCTGTGACAGACTACCTGGAAAAACGGGACACTCCCACTCAAATACTGTGCTGTTCCCAAGGTCTTAGCAAGCGTCAGACAAGGTGATTCTCTCCCATACCTGGCTTGGGGACTCCCACATCCACAGAGACTTGCTTACTGCTAGCACAGCAGTCTGAGATCGACCTGCTAGACAGCAGCCTGGCTGGGGGAGGGGCATCTGCCATTGCTGAGGCTTGAGTAGGTAAAAAAAGTGGCTGGGAAGCTCGAACTGGGTGGAGCACACCACAGCTCAGCAAGGCCTACTGCCTCTAGACTCCATCTCTGTGGGCAGGGCATAGCTGAACAAAAGGCAGCAGACAACTTCTGCAGACTTAAGAATCCCTGTCTGACAGCTCTGAAGAGAGCAGTGGTTCTCCCAGCACAGCGTTTAAGCTCTGAGAACGGGCAGACTGCCTCCTCAAGTGGGTCCCTGACCCCCATGTAGCCTAACAGGGAGACACCTCCCAGGGAGGGCCAACAGACACCTTATATAGGCGGCTGCCCCTCTGGGATGAAGCTTCCAGAGGAAAGATCAGGCAGCAATATTTGCTGTTCTGCAGCCTCCGCTGGTTATACCCAGGCAAACAGGGTCTGGAGTGGAACTCCAGCAAACTCCAACACACCTGCAGCTGAGGGACCTGACTGTTAGAAAGAAAACTAACAAACAGAAACAAATAGCATCAACATCAACAAAAAGGTCATCTACACCAAACCCCATCTGTAGGTCACCAACATAAAAGCACAAAGATGGGGAGAAACCAGAGCAGAAAAGCTGAAAATTCTAAACACGAAAGCACCTATTCTCCTCCAAAGGATCACAGCTCCTCACAAGCAATGGAACAAAGCTGGACAGAGAATGGCTTTGAGAAGCTAGGCTTCAGAAGGTCGGTAATAATAAACTTCTCCAAGCTAAAGGAGGATGTTCGAACCCACTGCAAGGAAGCTAAAAACCTTGAAAAAAGATTAGATGAATGGCTAACTGGAATAAACAGAGTAGAGAAGACCTTAAATGACCTGATGGAGCTGAAAACCATGGCACGAGAACTTTGTGACACATGCACAAGCTTCAATAGCTGATGCAATCAAGTGGAAGAAAGGGTATCAGTGATTGAAGATCAAATTAATGAAATAAAGTGAGAAAACAAGGTTAGAGAAAAAAGAGTAAAAAGAAACAAACAAAGCCTCCAAGAAATATGGGACTATGTGAAAAGACCAAATCTACATTTGATTGGTGTACCTGAAAGTGATGGGGAGTATGGAACCAAGTTGGAAAACACTCTTCAGGATATTATCCAGGAGAACATCCCCAACATTGCAAGGCAGTCCAACATTCAAATTCAGGAAATACAGAGAACACCACAAAGATACTCTTCAAGAAGAGCAACCCCAAGACACATAATCATCAGATTCACCAAGGTTGAAATGAAGGAAAAAGTGTTAAGGGCAGCCAGAGAGAAAGGTCGAGTTACCCACAAAGGGAAGCCTGTCAGATTAACAGTGGGTCCCTCAACAGAAACCCTACAAGCCAGAAGAGATTGGGGGCCAATATTTATCATTCTTAAAGAAAAGAATGTTCAACCCAGAATTTCATATCCAGCCAAACTAAGCTACATAAGTGAAGGAGAAATAAAATCTGTCAGAGAAATAAAATGCTGACAGATTTTGTCACCACCAGGGCTGCCTTACAAGAGCTCCTGAAGGAAGCACTAAACATGGAAAGAAACAACTGTTACCAGCCACTGCAATAAGAGGCCAAATTGTAAAGACCATCAATGCCATGAAGAAACCACATCAATTAATGGGCAAAATAACCAACAAACATCAAAATGACATGATCAAATTCACACATAACAATAGGAACCTTAAATGTAAATGGGCTAAATGCTCCAATTAAAAGACACAGACTGGCAAATTGGATAAAGAGTCAAGACCCATGAGTGTGTGGTATTCAGGAGACCCATCTCAGGTGCAAAGATGCACATAGGCTCAAAATAAAGGGATGGAGGAAGATCTATCAAGCAAATGGAAAGCAAAAAAAAAAAAAAAAAAAAAAAAAAAAAAAAGGCAGGGGTTGCAATCCTAGTCTCTGATAAAACAGACTTTAAACCAACAAAGATCAAAAGAGAAAACGAAGGCCATTACATAATGGTAAAGGGATCAATTCAACAAGAAGAGCTAACTGTCTTAAATGTATATGCACCCAATACAGGAGCACCCAGATTCATAAAGCAAGTCCTTAGATACCTGCAAAGAGACTTAGACTCTCACATAATAATAATGGGAGACTTTAACACCCCACTGTCAACATTAGACAGCTCAATGAGACAGAAGGTTAACAAGGATATCCAGGACCTGGACTCAGCTCTGCAACAAGCAGACCTAATAGACATCTACAGAACTCTCCACCCCAAATCAACAGAATATACATTCTTCTCAGCACTGCATTGCACTTATTCTAAAATTGACCACGTAATTGGAAGTAAAGCACTCCTCAGCAAATGCAAAAGAACAGAAATCACAACAAACTGTGTATCAGACCACAGTGCAATCAAATTAGAATTCAGGATTAAGAAACTCACTCAAAACCGCACAACTACATGGAAACTGAACAACTTGCTCCTGAATGACTACTGGGTAGATAACGAAATGAAGGCAGAAATAAAGGTGTTCTTTGAAACCAGTGAGAACAAAGACACAATGTACTAGAATCTCTGGGACACATTTAAAGCAGTGTGTAGAGGGAAATTTATAGCACTAAATGCCCACAAGAGAAGGAGAAAAGATCTAAAATCGACACCCTAACATCACAATTAAAAGAACTAGAGAAGCAAGAGCAAACACATTCAAAAGCTAGCAGAAGGCAAGATATAACTAAGAGCAGAACCAACAGAGATAGAGACACAAAAAACCCTTCAAAAAATCAATGAATCTAGGAGCTGGTTTTTGAAAAGATCAACAAAATTGATAGACCACTAGCAAGACTAATAAAGAAGAAAAGAGAGAGAAATCAAATATACGCAATAAAAAATGATAAAGGGGTTATCACCACCGATCCCACAGAAATACAAACTACCATCAGAGAATACTATAAACACCTCTACTCAAATAAACTAGAAAATCTAGAAGAAATGGATAAATTCCTGGACACACACACCCTCCCAAGACTAAACCAGGAAGAAGTTGAATCTCTGAATAGACCAATAACAGGCTCTGAAATTGAGGCAACAATCAAGAGCCTAGCAACCAAATAAAGTCCAGGACCAGACGGATTCACAGCCAAATTCTACCAGAGGTACAAAGAGGAGCTGGTACCATACCTTCTGAAACTATTCCAATCAATAGAAAAAGAGGGAATCCTCCCTAACTCATTTTATGAGGCCAACATCATCTTGATACCATAGCCTAGCAGAGACACAATAAAAAAAGAGAATTTTAGACCAATATGCCTGATGAACATCAATGCCAAAATCCTCAATAAAATACTGGCAAACCGAATCCAGCAGCACATCAAAAAGCTTATCCACCATGATCAAGTCAGCTTCATCCCTGTGATGCAAGGCTGGTTCAACATATGCAAATCAATAAACGTAATCCATCACATAAACAGAACCAATGACAAAAACCACATGATTATCTCAATAGATGCAGAAAAGGCCTTCGACAAAATTCAACTGCCCTTCATGCTAAAAATTCTCAATAAACTAGGTATTGATGAGACATATCTCAAAATAATAAGAGCTATTTATGACTAACCCAAGCCAATATCATACTGAATGGACAAAAACTGGAAGCATTCCCTTTGAAAACTGGCACAAGACAGGGATGCCCTCTCTCACCACTCCTATTCAACATAGTGTTGGAAGTTCTGGCCAGGGCAGTCAGGCAAGAGAAAGAAATAAAGGGTATTCAATTAGGAAATGAAGAAGTCAAATTGTCCCTGTTTGCAGATGACATGATTGTATATCTAGAAAATCCCATCATCTCAGCCCCAAATCTCCTTAAGGTGATATGGAACTTCAGCAAAGTCTCAGGATACAAAATCAATGTGCAAAAATCACAAGCATTCCTATACAACATTAACAGACAAACAGAAAGCCAAATCATGAGTGAAGTTCCATTCACAATTGCTACAAAGAGAATAAAATAGCTAGGAATCCAACTTACAAGGGATGTGAAGGATCTCTTCAAGGAGAACTACAAAACACTGTTCAAGGAAATAAAGGAAGACACAAACAAATGGAAGAATATTCCATGCTCATGGATAGGAAGAATCAATATCGTGAAAATGGCCATACTGCCCACAGTAATTTACAGATTCAATGCCATCCCCATCAAGCTACTAATGACTTTCTTCACAGAATTGGAAAAAAACTAAAGTTCATATGGAACCAAAAAAGAGCCTGCATTGCCAAGACAATCCTAAGCCAAAAGAACAAAGCTGGAGGCATCATGCTACCTGACTTCAAACTATACTACAAAGATACAGTAACCAAAACAGCATGGTACTGGTACCAAAACAGAGATATAGACCAATGGAACAGAACAGAGCCCACAGAAATAACACCACACATCTACAGTCATCTGATCTTTGACAAACCTGACAAAAACAAGCAATGGGGAAAGGATTCCCTATTTAATAAATGGTGTTGGGAAAACTGGCTAGCCATATGTAGAACACTGAAACTGGATCCGTTCCTTACAACTTTTACAAAAATTAATTCAAGATGGATTAAAGACTTACATGTTAGACCGAAAACCATAAAAACCCTAGAAGAAAACCTAGGCAATACCATTCAGGACATAGGCATGGGCAAGGACTTCGTGACTACAACACTCAAAGCAATGGCAACAAAAGCCAAAATAGACAAATGGGATCTAATTAAACTAAAGAGCTACTGCATGGCAAAAGAAACTACCATCAGAGTGAACAGGCAACCTACAGAATGGGAGAAAATTTTTGCAATCTACTCATCTGACAAAGGGCTAATATCCAGAATCTACAAAGAACTCAAACAAATTTACAATTAAAAAAAAAATCAAAAAGTGGGTGAAGGATATGAACAGACACTTCTCAAAAATATGTTGAAGCCCTAACTCTTACTGTGGCTGTATTTGCAGTAAGGAAGTAACTAAAGTTAAATGAGGGCATCAGGAAGGGGCCCACAAATGTTCAATCCATAACAAAGGGTGTTCAAATTGTGAAGAAATAAGTAAAACTATATCTATTCACAGATGACATAATGTCACATTTAAGGAATCCACTAAGAAACTATTAGGACTAATACATGAGCTCAGCAAGGTGATAGGAAATGAGATCAATGTACAAAAATAAATTCAGTTTCTACATATTTATAATAAACAATCAAAAAATAAAATTAAGGAAAAAATCCATGTATAATAGTGTCAAAGAATAAAATACTTAGGAATAAACTGAAGAGAAACAAGTGCAAAACTTATATTTTGAAAACCATAAAACGTTGCAGAAACTAAATAAATAAAGGGAAAGACATCTCATGTTCATGGATCAGAAAACAATATTGTTAAGATGGCAATACTTTCCAAATTGTTTCCGGATTCAGTGCAATCCCTATCAAAACCCCAGCTGCTTTCTCTTCAGAAATGGACACTCTGATTCTAAAATTCATATGAAGGTGAAAGTGACCCTGAATAGCCAAAATAATCTTGAAAAAGACCAATGTTGTAGGACTCACACTTCCTGATTTTACAACTTGCTACAAAATCATAGTAATCAATATCCTATGATATTTGCATAAGGATAGATACATAGATCAATGGAATAAAATTGAGAGTCCAGAAATAAATCTTCACATTTACAGTCAATTGATTCTTCTAAGGGATATGAAACCATTCCACTGGTGGGGGTTTGGGGGAGGGGGAAATAGTCTTCTAAACAAATGTTGCTGAGATAGCTGGATATCCACATGCAAAAGGATGAATTTGGATCCCTTCACATCACATACAAAAATTTATGAAAGTGAACCAAGAAGACATTTATGCAGCCAAAAGACACATGAAAAAATGTTCATCATCACTGGCCATCAGAGAAATGCAAATCAAAACCACAATGAGATACCATCTCACACCAGTTAGAATGGTGATCATTAAAAAGTCAGGAAACAACAGGTGCTGGAGAGGATGTGGAGAAATAGGAACACTTTTCCACTGTTGGTGGGACTGGAAACTAGTTCAACCATTGTGGAAGTCAGTGTGGCGATTCCTCAGGGATCTGGAACTAGAAATACCATTTGACCCAGCCATCCCATTACTGGGTATATACCCAAAGGAATATAAATCATGCTGCTATAAAGACACATGCACACGTAAGTTTATTGCGGTACTACTCACAATAGCAAAGACTTGGAACCAACCCAAGTGTCCAACAATGATAGACTGGATTAAGAAAATGTGGCACATATATACCATGGAGTACTATGCAGCCATAAAAAATGATGAGTTCATGTCCTTTGTAGGGACATGGATGAAGCTGGAAACCATCATTCTTAGCAAACTATCACAAGGACAAAACACCAAACACTGCATGTTCTCACTCATAGGTGGGAATTGAACAATGAGAACACTTGGACACAGGAAGGGGACATCACACACTGGGGCCTGTTGTGGGGTGGGGAGGGAGAGGGGGAGGGATAGCATTAGTAGATATACCTAATGTAAATGACGAGTTAATGGGTACAGCACACCAACATGGCACATGTATACATATGTAACAAACCTGCACGTTGTGCGTATATACCCTAGAACTTACAGTATAATGAAAAATATATATAATTAAAAAAATAAAAAAAAAGAAAGTGAATCAAAGACCTAAATGTAAAAACTAAAACTTTAAAACACTCAAAAACTATAGGGCTAAATCTTCTCAGCTTGAATTGGGCAATGGTTTCTTAGTTATGACACCAATAGCACAAGCAGCAAAAGAAAAAACAGATAAATGAACTTCAATCAAAACTGTGATTTAAAGGACACTGTCAAGAAAGAAAAAACACAACCCACAAAATGGGGAGAAATACTTAAAATCTTATACGTGATACAGGATATGTACAGGACATGTTTGGTATATGAATTATATTTTAATAAAGCTGTTACCAAAAATAAATAAATAAATGTAAAGAAAAAAATTATCTGGATAGCTTTACCTACTTATTGCTGGTTTCTGAGACTAGTTGCAGGAGTTGACAGTCTTCTTGAGTTTATTCTGATTATTTTTTTCCCTCCTAAAATATTATCTATTTCACATACGTTTAAAAAATTGACATAAAGTGGGTTATGTTTATTTATTTATTTTAAGATCTTGTTACTAAATCCATCTTCCAATAAAAGTATCCAGGGCTTCATGAAGAAATGGCTGATTACCCAGTTGAGGTCAGCAAAGTATAACAAAACTTAAAGCATCTTGTGGTACCAGAAAGTTAAAAAGTGCTAAAACGCTGATAGAAGCATGTTTAAAATACACAGAAACTCATCCAGGAGTTCCCAATAGCCATATCTGGAGTAATTAAGGCAACTAAATAATGATAGTATTTTATGATAATTCACTGAATAAAACAAATATCCATGAGTCTATATAGATGTCAACAAATGATTGATTGATTAAATAAATAAGTGGAGAAGAACGGACAGGTTTTCCTGAAGGAATACTTCAATTGTTAAACTAGTGCCTTTCAATTAATAAACTAATAGATAAAAATGAATGATGCAACAGAAAATCGCCATTTGACAAATACCACAGCAATAATTATTGCAGAGAGAAGTAATAGATGTTAAAATTATTGGGAGAAATTATGATGATAATCAGAATATTTGCATCATCTCAGTGTGTTTCCTCCTCAAGATATTCATTAATTATAAAGGAAAAAAGATAATTTTATAGTAGGGAAACCATCTGAACCAAATGATGATAGTTAACATCATCAGTAATGAGGCATATTGAATTTATGACATCACTTCTGCAGTATTGTTGCCAAAAATGCATAACTTGAATTTGATCATGAGGAAATATTAGGTAAACTCTAATTAAGAAATATTCTACAAAGTGACTTGCCAGTACTCTTCTAAAGTATCAGTCATAAAAGACAAAGGACTGTGTAACTGTTTCAGAATGGAAGAAACTAAGGAGACATGGCAACTAAATGCAATGTGTGAACTTGGATTAGATCCTGAGCATGATAAAGGCCAATTGTGAAACAATTGGTAAAATTCAGGTTAAGTCTATAGATTAGTTAATGATATTGCACGAAAGTTTTGTTTTTGATCTTTGTACTATGTTAACATTTGACAAAATTTTAACAGTTAAGGAAATTTGGATGAGGGTTATACCAGAATCCTGCAAAAATTTTTAATTTTTTTTAATTCTGAAGTTCTTATAAAATGAAAAGTTAAAACATGTTTTAAAATTTAAAAATCTATTGTATCTGTTGTTTGGTAGTTTTTTATTTCTAATATTACTGTAAGTAGCCTTTCTCTTTCATTTACTCAATCTTATTATTATTTCTTTATTTATTTACTTACTTAGAAACTGGATCTCTCTTTGTTGTCCAGGCTGGAATGCAGTGGCTTGATATAGCTCACTGCCGCCTAGAATTCCTGGACTCACAGGATGCTCCCGCCTCAGTCTCCCAAGTAGCTGGGATTACAGGCACATGCCCAGATAATTTTTAAATTTTGGAGAGGTAGGGTCTTGCCATTTTGCCCAGGCTGGTCTCGACCTCCTGGGCTCAAGTGATCCTCCCACAGTATTAGGATTACAGGCATGAGCCACTATGCCTGGCCGAGTTTTTTCGTTTGTTTTTAATTTAAGCATTCTCCCCAACAGGTTCACCTTTTATTCTTGTTATTGTTTCTATTACTTTTGACTGTTATTCTTTCATTAATTACAGTTCTTATTACTTATTAACTTTATTATTAACTATTATTTATTTACTTTATCTTTATTGTTTTATTATTTTTAAACTATTTCCTTTGGATTTACTTTTAGTTCCTTTTGTAGCTTTGCTTAGTAAATTAATTACCATATTAATTTTCTAGGGTTGCCATAATAAAGAACCACAAACTGGGTTGCTTAAAAAACAGAAATGCATTCTCTCCTGGTTCTAGGAGCTAGAAGTCCAAAATCAAGGAATTGGCAGGGCCACACTCCCTCTGAAACTTTTAGAGAAGGATCCTTCCTTGCTTCTTCCAGCTTCTAGTAGACCTAGATGTTCCCTGGCTTTTGGCAGTATAACTATAATTTCTAGTTTTATTTTCACATGGCCTTCTTCTTATGCTTCTGTCTGTGTCTCTTATTTTCTTATAAGGACAGCAATCATATTGGATTTAGGGCCCACCCTACTCCAGTACGACCTCATCTTAACTTGATTACATCAGCAAAGGCTCTAATTCCAAATGAGGTCACATTCACAGGTACCAGGAATTAGGACTTGAACATATCTTCTTGGGAGATGGGATTCAATTACTTGCTTTTGTTTTTCTTATTTTTTAATACACGCATTTAAAGGCTATACTTTTGTTTCTAAGTATTTAGCTGCACCCCATAATTTTAAAATAAACTTTCACAAATATGTAATATAAATAAAGACAAATGTATACAAATATAATGCTCTATGCATTTTCAGTAATTGAACATACCTGTGTAGCAAGTACCCTGATTGCAGCCCCCCTTTCAACACCCTTCCAGTCACTAGCCACCCAAGTATACTGTATTGACTTCTAAAATTATTAATTTATTTGGCTCATTCTTTTAACTTTAGATAAATGGGATCATAGATCATGTATCTTTTTCTATCTGGCTTCTCTTGTTAAACATTTTGTGAGACTCATTCATATTGTTGCATGGTGTTGTAAATTATTCATTCTTATTGCAATCTAGGATTCTATTGTTAATCCATTCTCCTGTTGACAAGCGTTTGGTTAGTTTCCAGTTTTGGTATAATAGGAGATCGAGACCACGGTGAAACCCCGTCTCTACTAAAAATACAAAAAATTAGCCGGGCGCAGTGGCGGGCGCCTGTAGTCCCAGCTACTCGGGAGGCTGAGGCAGGAGAATGGCGTGAACCCAGAAGGCGGAGCTTGCAGTGAGCGGAGATCGCGCCACAGCACTCCCGCCTGGGCGACAGAACGAGACTCCGTCTCAAAAAAAAAAAAAAAAAAAAAAAAAAAAAAAAATAGTTGCCATGAATATTCTTGTACATGTCTTTTAATGATCATATGTGTGCATTTCTGTTGCATATGACTTGGGAGAATTACTTGGTCACAGAGTATGCAAATGTTCATCTTCAGTCAATACTGTCATAGAGTTTTCCAAAATCATTGCATCATTTAACTTTCCCACTGGCGATTTATAAAAGTTCAAGTCAATTCTTGCCAACAGTTAGTACTTCCTTTTTTCTTTTAGGCATTCTGGATGTGTGGTGGTATCTATTTGTGGTTTTAATTTGCATTTCTCTGATGACTAATGAAGTAGAACTCATGCTTTCATAAGTTTATTGAATATTTAGATATTTATTCTATTTTGTGAAATGCCTAGTCAAATATTTTGCTTCCTTTTCTATTGTTTTGTTTGTCTTTTTCTTTTGGATTTGTAGGAGCTAGTTATATGTTCTTTTTATTGCTGGACATATGTATTATACATCCCATAAGTATTTTTTATATATAAGGTTTATGTCTTTTTTTAAATATTCTATAATTACAATGCAATTTCTTTAATCAATGGCTTACTTAGGGTGTGCATTTTAGTTGCATGTATGTATGCTTAATATATATTTGTGTGTGTTTAACATATATTTAATATGTATATATGTATTAATATATCAATACCTTTAAATATATACAAATACATATTTATCTGCATATAAAAATATATACAAATATATATTTATATGCATATAAAGTATATATACATATATGTTTATTTAAAGATAGGGAAAGAAATAAAGTTAGGTATCTAAGTATTGTATTATAAATTTAAGGGTAATCACCAAAAGGCCTGCTATGCAAACTCTAAGTCATAGCATCCAAACCAGCAGAGGAAACCAAAATGAATAAACATAATTATGTACATATATATATTTATATATATAAATAAATATATTTTTAAAAGTTAAATGTTCCAAATGTACTTAAAAATGCATATTCCTATTTGTTGGGTAAAATTTCTTTCTATCTCCAGATGAATAGAAAGATAGATATGTCTATGAATTTATAAATCAAAGTGGCCTTCTACAGAGAGTCACTTCAAGTATGAACTATGTCACTAATAATAAAGCTTATTGATTGTGTTATTGTATCTTTCATATTTTTGTTTTTGTTTTGTTTTTGGCTATTTTGTTGATTAGTTTCTAAAGGAAGTTTGTTAATATCTCACACCCTATAACTTTAAGCCATGTTTTGTTTTCTATTTTTAAGATGCATATATTAGATGCATATGATTTCCATATCTTCTTGGTGGTTATTTCTCTTTCACTATGCAATGCCCCATTTTATTATTATTAGAATCTCTTGCTTTAAATGCTATTTTATTTTGATAATACTATCACTATACCAGTTTTAATGTTGTATATAACTTTTTCTTTTATCAGCTCTTCATTCTCAACTTTTCTGTATCATTTTCCTTTACTTCTGTCTCTCTAAGCAGAAAACAATTGGATTTTGTTTGTTCAATTTGATATTTCCTTGAATCAATATACTGATTTTTTCCATATTTCTGCTGTCTTTGGTTTTCAGTTTCTTACGGTCTTTCTTAGAATTTTCTTTTTTTATTTCTCATGACTCCTGTAGATTGACAGAATTCTGTTTATTCATTTTGGTTTTCTCTGCTGGTTTGGAAACTATGATTTACCGTTTGTATGTCAGGCCTTTCGGTGATTACCCTTAAATTTATAATACAATACTTAGATGCCTAACTTTCTTTCTTTCCTTCTGTCTTTCTCTTTCTGTCTTATCTTGGCTTCTGTTTAATCAAATAATTCAACAATGTAGTTTCAAGACTTAATAGTTTTATGAGGTTCATAATGAAAAGTAACACTCTCCTGACCTGGTCTTTTTAAAATTTTAAATTAATGGTTTTGGACACTCTGTAGGTCCTTTTAATAATCCATAGTTATTATCACTCTAAAAGAAGCAACAGTCCCCTTTCAATGTGTGCAAAGAGGAATTTAAAACATGGTAGGTGTGACTCTCAAGAAATTTTACTCTCATTACCCAAATATTTGGAGCCCTAGGTCAGTTGAAGGCGAAGTAACAACACTCAGAAACCTAGAATCAAAGTAAACTTAGTAGTACAGTCTGAAGAAAATGTTCCAAAGCTCAGGATGTAGTAAGGAAATACACAAGAGGAAAGGGAGTTTCTGAGTTGACAACCAGATGGAGGCCCTATCTTGGTTTCTGAATGTCTTTCTAAGTGAGTTACCCTTAGTGAGGCATTGTGCTATACGTCATAGCTCTGCCTAAAGTATGAGTGCCTTGACAGCTAGCTCCCTTAGTCCTTGAAACAAAAAGTGATGATGAAGACAAAATGGGTTGGGAAAATTTGTGAAAACTGAAAGAGAAGCAGAAAAGTCAGACACAGTCACTTCATTTAAGAAATGAAGTAGCTTTCTTAAATTAGAGAACTTCCTGAGCCGGCTAGTTAATGAATTTCACATAGGGTTAAGGGACATAAACTTAGTTTTATTCTCACTCAAACCTCTGCCACATTACATCTAAACTGATTGCATTTTCTCTAAATGGCTGGAGGTGGTAAACTATGGACAGTCAATAATTTCTGAGTGTTTTCATCTTTACAGTACACATCAAATGAGTTTATGTCTTCATTCTTAATTACTCCAGCAATATATATTACATGATCTCATGTGAAAAGACGGATTTAAATAATATTGCCTCTTAAAGCTTTGTGAGGAAACATTTCCTTGATTTGTCATATAAATTTATAGGTTCCATCATGGATATCACTCATGCAATAAGTGCCTCGGGAAATTATGCTAAACAAAGCCACTCAGCAATCTGGTAGCAAACAGGAAGCAAGGCAACAGCCTTATTTTCAATGTAAGGCCCTGGGTGGAACACAGAGAATAGATGTAGATCATCTCAAGTGTTATCAGATTTATGAAGGGTCCCCTTAACCAGTGGAATGAAGGAGGGTAGGCAGGGTTGAGACTGGATTCTTCTAGTGCACCGAGGGAGAAAAAAAATCTCTTAAGATTTTAGTTATCTATCTTTTAAAGTTTTAAAAAATACCTTTTAAGATATTTTTTTCTCATGGTGGAAAACTTGACAATTGGAGAATAGTTTAAAATGCAGAAAAAAATCTAACATCCTGAGATAATCACTATTGTGTTATGTAATTTCCCTCCAGTCTTTTTTTTCTTTTACTTTTAACATGGTTGATAATCATGTATATTGTCTCTCTCTATTTGAAGGGGGGTTATTCCAGGACTTCTGCAGATATAAAAAGCCAGGGATGCTCAACTCCCTTATAAAACATGGCATAGTACAGTTGGCTCTCTGTATCCAAGGGTTCCACACCTGTTGGTTGAAACCACAAATAAGACCTAATACCATAAAAACCCTAGAAGAAAACCTAGGCAATACCATTCAGGACATAGGCATGGGCAAGGACTTCATGTCTAAAACACCAAAAGCAATGGCAACAAAAGCCAAAATTGACAAATGGGATCTCATTAAACTAAAGAGCTTCTGCACAGCAGAAGAAACCACCATCAGAGTGAACAGGCAACCTACAGAATGGGAGAAAATTTTTGCAACCTACTCATCTGACAAAGGGCTAATAACCAGAAGCTACAATGAACTCCAACAAATTTACAAGAAAAAAACAAACAACACCATCAAAAAGTGAGCAAAGGATATGAACAGACACTTCTCAAAAGAAGACATTTATGCAGCCAAAAGACACATGGAAAAATGCTCATCATCACTGGCCATCAGAGAAATGCAAATCAAAGCCACAATGAGATACCATCTCACACCAGTTAGAATGGCGGTCATTAAAAAGTCAGGAAACAACAGGTGCTGGAGAGGATGTGGAGAAATAGGAACACTTTTACACTGCTGGTGGGACTGGAAACTAGTTCATCCATTGTGGAAGTCTGTGTGGCGATTCCTCAGGGATCTAGAACTAGAAATGCCACTTGACCCAGCCATCCCATTACTGGGTATATACCCGTAGGAATATAAATCATGCTGCTATAAAGACACATGCACACATATGTTTATTGCGGCACTATTCACAACAGAAAAGACTTGGAACCAACCCAAATGTCCAACAATGATAGACTAGATTAAGAAAAGTGGCACATATACACCATGGAATACTGTGCAGCCATAAAAAATGATGAGTTCATGTCCTTTGTAGGGACATGGATGAAGCTGGAAACCATCATTCTCAGCAAACTATCGCAAGGACAAAAAACCAAACACTGTGTGTTCTCATAGATGGGAATTGAACAATGAGAACACATGGACACAGGAAGGGGAACATCACACACCGGGGACTGTTGTGGGGTGGGGGGATGGGGGAGGGATAGCATTAGGAGATATACCTAATGCTAAATGACGAGTTAATGGGTGCAGCACACCAACATGGCACATATATACATATGTAACAAACCTGCATGTTGTGCACATGTACCCTAGAACTTAAAGTATAATAATAATAAAAGAAAAAGAAAGAAAAAGAAAAAAAGGAACCTCAGAGAAAGGGGGCCAACTGTACATAAAATTTGTACAGGATCTTCAATTTCACTTCATAATATCAGAACCTTCTCAAATATCACTTTTAATTTAAATGTAATTTAAATAGACCTTAAGTTAATTATTCATTTTCTTCACAACATCCATTCTTGTAGGAAAGAGATAATGATGGTTTGTAAATGCTCATCAAATAATTATTAACTGACCAATTTTTTCTGCATCTCCATCTCTAAAATGGGATTATGAAGCATAACCTCCCTTTTTCTTTCTAATGTGGAGCTGATACACATCTAAATATTCAAAAAAAAAAGTCATTGGCATTTTGTCACGGTGTAGGGGTTTTCATAAGGAAGATTTGGGATCCAGAAGGTGAGACTGGAGGTTAATAGTAGATTGAGCTTCATACATGTTAATTACTGACACACCCAAATTAGACTCTCAGATAAAATAACATCAGATTTTAACCAAGGCCAGGAGGTCAAAGGAGCCAGGGCCCTGCCAACTATACTAGCCATCAATGCTGTAATTGATTAAGGCATGGCAAGGTAATATTTTTCTAAGAGTGTCACAGAGTTTCTTCTCGTTAGGTGTTACCTTTGGTTGCTGCTGTAAAACATGGTGAAATAATTGAATTACTGGTGATCACAGGGAAAATATCTTCTACCAGGGAGACAATGCCCCAGTATTTCAAAGGGAAAATATTCAAGATGCTTCTTTCATAGTCTGAAAATTCTCCTTCTTATTGTTATCCTTTGTTCACTCTCTAACTCATCTCCGCTTTCCTAACAGGCAGAAAGGAGTCAGATTTCTCTGGGGTGTGAACTGAGAAATATTTGAATGTCTGGGTAGAGCAGAAGCTGGTATATTTCCCTGGAGGTCTTTAGATATGGAATATCTATATAGATATTTGTATGGAATATTAGAGTGAGGTCATGAATTTATAGGTTTTCCAACATTATAGTGGGTGCTGTAGAGATAGAGAAGGAACTCTAAATCAGAGACTGTTGGTTTTAGGGACCTATTTCCTGGCTATGTCAGTGATTTAACTCTACCAGACTTCAGTTTCTTCATCTCTAAAAATAAGGAAGCTGAATTATGAATTCAAGAGCCCCTTCTTGCTTCAGTTTGCTTTGAGAAGATATTCTATCTCCTCAAGTTGCCTACAGAGCCAGCGAAAGATCTCATACATGACATCCAAGAAATGGGATCACAGAACATACAAAATTGCCTACAGATACAGAGGAATCAGAAATCAAAGAAGTTTGAAAGTTGATGGACGGTGAAGGGTTGGTGGTCAGTGACTGGTAGGAGTGGCTGAAAATTAATTGATTTGCTTGTTGCCTACTTCCCGCCCCACCCCCAGAATGATATATTCATGAGACATTGTCCGTCTTGTTCCCAGCTATATCCTCAGTGTCTAGAATTGTTCCTGCAACACAAAGATGTCATAATTATTTGTGTAGGAAATGCACCTATTGGAGAAATCAATAATAAATAAATAGGTTTGCTCAGTAGTAGAAATTTGCAGTGTGAGATCCAGGTCCATTGTTCATCCACTTGCTGTACACCATGAGGCAAGGCATTCTTGGCAAAGTACCCTCACCTTTTTAAATTGCTTTCATGCTCAGGAACTGGGATGGGATTGGGTCTACAGAATGGGCTATTATTAACTAGAGCCATTTTCTTTATTGATTGCATGGCCATTGGATTAACTTTCAAAGATGCCATGCAGGCACTAAAAAGACTGGGAAGACTAGATTTGTTTCTACTCTACATTTTGAGAGTGTTCACCTAAATAAGTACTAAATCTTATTACTCACACATCTATCTATGCACCATTAAAAAAAACACTTATTTTAAGTTCAGGGGTGCATATGCAGGTTTGCAGTATAGGTAAACTTGTGTCATGGGGGTTTGTTGTACGATTAGTTCATCACTCAGGTATTAAGCCTAGTACCCATTAGTTATTTTTGCTGATCCTCTCCCTCCCCCCACCCTCCACTCCCTGATGGAAGCCAGTGTATGTTGTTCCCCTCTATGTGTCCATGTGTTCCATCATTTAGCTCCCTTTTTATAAGTGAGAACATATGCTATTTGGTTTTCTGTTCCTGCTGTTAGTTTGCTAAGGATGATAGCCTCCAGCTGCATCCATGTCCCTAAACAGGACATGATCTCATTCTTTTTATGGCTGCATAGTATTCCTTGGTGTATATATACCACATTTTCTTTATCCAGTCTATTGTTGATGGGCATTTAGTTTGATTCCATGTCTTTGCTATTGTGAATAATGGTTCAATGAACATATGTGTGCACGTGTCTTTATAATAGACTGATTCCTTTGGGTATATACCCAGTAATGGGATTGCTGGGTCAAATGGTATTTTTATCTTTAGATTTTTGAGGAATCGCCACACTGTCTTCCACAATGGTTGAACTAATTTGCACTCCCACCAACAGTGTATAAGCATTAATTTTTCTCTACAACCTCAGCAGCATTTTTTTGGCTTTTTATTAATAGCCATTCTGACTGATGTAAGATGGTATCTTATTGTGGTTTTGATTTGCATTTCTCTAATGATCAGTGATATTGAGCTTTTTTTCATATGATTGTTGGCTGCATGTATGTCTTCTTTAGAAAACTGTCTGTTAATGTGCTTTGCCCACTTTCTAATGAGGTTGTTTGTTTTTTTCTGATAAATTTGTTTAAGTTCCTTATAGATGCTGGATATTAGACCATCACAAACTAGATGTATAGTTTGCAAAAATTATCTCCCATTCTGTAGGTTGTCTGTTTACTCTGTTGATAGTTTATTTTGCTGTGCAAAAGCTCTTTAATTAGATATAATTTGTGAATTTTTGCTTGTGGTGCAGTTGCTTCTGGCATCTTCATCATGAAATCTTTGCTCATGGTATGTCCTGAATGGTATCGCCTAAGTTGTCTTCCAGGGTTTTTATAGTTGTGGGTTTTATTTTTAAGTCTTTAATCCATCTTGAGTTAATTTTTATACGATGTAAGGGAAGGGGTCCAGTTTCCATTTTCTGGATATGGCTAGCCATTTATCCTAGCACCATTTATTGAATAGTGAATCGTTTCCCCATTTATGCACCTTTTTTTAACTGACTTTATTTTTTAGAACAGTTTTAGAAATACAGAAAAATTGAGACGATAGTACAGAGAGTTTCCATATAGCCAAACCCATTTTCCTTATTTTATTTTATTTTATTTTATTTTTGAGACAGAGTCTCGCTCTGTTGCCAGGCTGGAGTGCAGTGGTGCCATCTCAGCTCACTGCAACCTCCACCTCCGAGGTTCAAGCTAGTCTCCTGCCTTAGCCTCCCAAGTAACTGGGACTACAGGCATGTGCCACCACGCCGAGCTAATTTTTTTTTTTTTTTTTTTTGTATGTTTAGTAGAGATGGGTTTTCACCATGTTGGCCAGGATGGCCTCCATCTCTTGACCTTGTGATCTGCCTGCCTTGGCCTCCCAAAGTGCTGGGATTACAGGCATGAGCCACCACACCTGGCGCATTTTCCTTATTATTAACATTTTATCAGTATGATACATTTGTTATAATTAATGAACCAATGTTGACACATTATTATTAAGTAAAATTCATACTGTATTTAGATTTTCTTAGTTTTACCTTATGTCCTTTCTCTATTCCAGCATTTCCTATAGAATATCATGTGATATTTAGTTGTCTTGTTTCTTTAGGCTGTGATACTTTCTCAGAGTTTTTTGATGTTAGATGACCTGGACAATTTTGATGAGTATTGTTTGAGCATTTTACAGGATGTGCCTCTACTGGAATTTGTCTGTTGTTTTTCTCATTAGGGTGGGGTTATGGGTTTTGTGAAGGAAGACCACATCTTCACCATATAGTAGCAAGGGTACATACTATGAACATGACTTATCATTATTGATGTTGTCCTTAATCAGCAGGCTAAGGTAGTATTGGTCAGATTTCATCACTGTAAAGTTATTCCTTTTTTCCCTTCCTTACTGCACTCTTGGAAGAAAGTTATTATGCACCACCCACAGTTAACAAGAGGGGAGTTATGCTCTATCTTTTTGAAGGCAGAGTGCCTACATAAATCATTTAGAATTCTTCTAAAGAGGAGACTTCTGTCTTCTCCCCCACTTATTTGTGTGCTCAATCATTTATTTATATCAGTATAGACACATGGATATTTATTTTATGCTTTTGGTTATAACCCAATACTACTTAATTTTATTGCCCAAATTACTCCAGCATTGGCTTTTGGTAGCCCTTTCAGTTGTCTGCTGTGATCCTTTGACATGCCCTCATCAATCTGGTTTTTTCTTTTTTTTTTTGGCACTTCCTTACTTTTTGCTACTATAAGATGCTTCCAGGTTCATTTTGAATGTTTCCTGCTCCAGTCCTAGAAATCAGTCACTTTTCCAAAGACATGTATCGTTAAAAATCTACTATTTCTTTTTTGAGAATGTTTTGGTTCCTATTTCCAGTTTTAGCTGTACTTGAAAACTTTTATTGTTAACTTCTTTATATGTCAGTCCAGAGGTGCAAGTATTAGAAGAAAGTTTTCAGTTTCTATTACTAAATAAAGAGTTTAGAAACAGACTTGCAATTTCTCTTTTGACGCTCCTATATTATCGGTGTCAAATGTGGTAGCTTGTTAACAAGAAAGCTGCTACCCAGAGAGAGCTTAGAAATGCCAATTAGAGTCAGATTATTTATTTATAAATGTATAAATTCATTTCACGTTTTATCATGGGGCAGAGCATGCCTTGCCCCTTTAACTGTAGAGATTACTGAGCTCGGCGGAATGAATGGCATGCTCTCCAAGTGACATTTCTGACTTGCTCGTCAACTTCCTTCCTCCCCAAGGACCCCAACCTCTCCTGAATTCACAGAGGGTGGGCTTTATATTGTTTTTAAGAATAATTTCCCATGGAAGGCAGAATACATGAGTTGTTCTTGGTTAAGTAATAGATGTAGACATGCAGAGAACTTTAACCCTGGGCATGTTATTGAACTGGTTTATGGAATTTTAAGAATATTTATTTATTTAAGATTTTTATTTTTAATAAAATTTTTATTTATTTATTTATTTATTTTTAAAGAGTGGTAAAATATAACACAAACCCTTTTTTTAATCACTCTAGGTCTAGGGCTTGTGAAGAAAGTCTTTCTCTTGGTCATACATAGATATCGAAAGAGCAAAAATCATTTCCCAATGACCCTCCAGTGTGTCCTGTGTGGCTAGGGAGCAATTTCTTTTGGCCTAAGGGAAAATTATACATTTAAGTCCAGGGAAAAGAGAGTCCACCTCTGGCAGCTGCCTCTCGCTTCTGGAGACATAGATTATTAGTGTCCTTTTTCTGTGTCTGGAGCTGCATCTCAATGGCATCACCAGAGGAAACACAATGTCCCCCCACCCCACAACCCCAAGGCAGCAAGTGAATTATTCAAGGTGAACTTAATTAACAATACCTCTACCCGTCACAGTATCCTAAACAAGACTTGCAATTTAAACAGTAAGAGCAGCAGTATTTTAGCTACTTCTTAAAAATGTGCAAGGTGAACTAGGAACAGGCAACAGGGAACACGGAAGCTTTATTTTTGGTTTCTATTAAGATATCGGATTGACTTGTCAGTAACTGTCACAAGCATGTTTTTAGTTTCATAGATATCTTGAAAAATCTTTAAATGTGTGTGCATGTGTTGCTCTCAAGACTGAATCTCCCAGGAAAAAAAGAAAAGAATTTGTTTGCTTGCTTGTTTCGTTAGAGATAAATTATTTGAAATGCCAGAAGGGGCCAGGTATGGTGGCTTATGTAATCCCAGCACTTTGGGAGGCTGAGGCAAGAGGAGGATCACTTGAGTCCAAGAGTTAGAGACCAGCCTGGGCAACACAGTGAGACCCTGCCTTTATGAAAAAGAAAAATTGTTGGGCATGGTGTTGTGTGCCTGTAGTTCCAGCTACTCGGGAGGCTGAGGTGGGAGGATTCCTTGAGCTTGGGAGGTTGAGAGTGCAGTGAGTCATGATCGCATCACTGCTTGGATGACAGAGTGACACCCTGTCTTAAAAAACAAACAAACAATAAACGGAAAGCCATTGATGTGGGTTGGTTGAGTTTTGGGAGCTCCAAGTTCACCCTAATTACAGTACAGTAGTCCACACTTAATCTGCAGGGAATATTCCTGGGAAACCCTCAGTGCATGCCTGAAACTGCCCTTGCTGAATGAACCCTATATATACTATGTTTTTCTGATTTGATAACTGAGGCGGCTACTATGTGACTAACAGCTGGGTAGCAAATATATACAGTGTGAATAAGCTGGGCAAAAGGATGCCTCACTTCTTGGGCACCACAGAGCTGGATGGTGGACATTTCATTACACTACCCAAAAGGGTACACAATTTAAATTTATGAATTTTTTTTTCTGGGATTTTCCATTTAATATTTTTGGAGTGTTGGTAACTGAAACTGTGGAAAGCAAAACCATGAATGTGGCGGGGGTAGAGAAACTGTTTTTACTTATTTTTCCAAATAAGTTCTTCCATCTGTATCAGTCCTTTGACATAAATTCAAAAAATCCTCTCTAGCTACAAAGTGACATTCCATTACTATTAAAATTGCTAGCCACATTTTGATATATTAAACCTCACTTGTTCAATTCCGTTCTATCCAAGCTGTGAAATAATTACTAGCTATAACTTTGGTTCAGGTGAGTTCAACATTTCCTTTGAATTTCTTCTTTTCATAGAGTTTCCAAATTAACCATCAATCAGGAGAAATTCCTGTTGACACCCGCTTTCTCGACTTTCTACTCTGGAGCCCAAGTTTACAGGTCTTTTTGGGCTTGGATTTGGTTGGGTGGATCAGAGAAGATGAGAGGTAGAGGTCTCTCAGCATCCCCACTAAGTGACTTCACGGGTTGATACAGAATAGGGACTCTAATTGCAGGGCTATTAAACTGGAAGGCCTTCTTTAAACTTGCCCATTTCCAGGTAGAGCTTGAAAGATATCCACATTAAAGTTTACTACGGATGAAATGTACATAATGGTGCAAGGCAAAATGTGTGACAGTCTCTTGGCAGGATTCATCAATCATTGCAGACCTTTTTCAGTGGGGATAAAGGGCTCAGTGTGACTCGAATAAGGGTTTATATTCCAGGAATCTTGGTTTAGTAGAAATATATCCTCTGAGTTATTTTTTATTAATAGCTCTTTGGGGAGAATAGGTTGTAAGAAAATTCCCCCTTCTTGGACTATGGATTTATTACTAAAAGCCCATATCAAATCTCTTGATCCATTAAGTACTGTGAGTTACTATACATCATAGGTGACTATCTTTGGGGAAGCAATGACATAGTACATAAGACTGACAATACTTTGTGGGTGGAAGCCATTCGGTACACTTTACTTACCTCCTCTCCTCCTCTTCTTTTTTTAACCAAGAATGGTCAGGTACAAACATGTATAATGCAGTTAAATATTTGGCCAACTGATATGTATTAATATATTTGCTAATGTTTTCGTAATTTTCAAAGATTAAAGGACAATGAAATATTCATGCTTTTAAAATATTCAAAATTTTAACTACTCATTTTTATTAGCTAAAAATACTTAATATTGCCTGAGTTCTCAGTGTGTGCTAAACATCATATTAGCTGTTTTATGTGCATTTTCTTTTTCATTCGTTGTTCTCCACTTTTCTCTGAGGTAGGTGACAGTATGGGCTTTGGTTTCTTGAGTTGACAGCTGAGGCTCAGAGAGGTTAAGTAATTTAGCCCAAGGTCACACAGATATTCAGTGATGGGGCCAGATTTGAACCAATGCAAGTTGCCTGTGTTTTCATCTATTACTCTAAACTGACTGCCAAATAATATAAATTGTTCTGTAGTCTAAGCCAGTTTATTATTAATATTCCAGATGTGGGCTGGTTTTGGCTTCAACACCAGAATAGGAAACTCTCTGGGTCTCAAGATAGTCCTTTGTTATAGAAAATCATTTTCCTTTGTTATCTAAAATCTCTCTTCTTGTAGCTTTTATCCACTGCTTTTGGTTTTGTATCTAGATCTAGGTATATGAAAGCATATTAAGAACTACACAGCCCAATGTGGATATTATTTTTTATAAAAGCATTATTCTATGAAAGGTGAACCTTGTTCTTATGTAGTAGACCTGCATGTATTAATGGGTACAAATACATTATTTGATAGAAGAAATAAGACCTATTCTTCAGTAGAGTAGTAGGGTGACTGTAGTCAACAATAATATATCGTACATTTAAAAATACCTACAAGAGAAGAATTCGAATGCTTCTAGCATAAAGAAAAGGCAAATGTTTATGGTGATGGATGTCCCAAGTACACAGATTTGATCTTTACAAATTATGTAAGTGTATTAAATTGCTGCATATACCCAGAACTATGTAATCTGTTATGCGCGATAAATTTTCTAAATGGAAAAATCACAATAAGAAAAAAATAAAGACAATGATCATGATCCTTTATCCCCACCTACCACTTTTCTGGGATGAGCACTATCAGTCCCTACAAGTGTCTTCTATAAAAAATAATAACAATAATAAATGGAATGCATAATAATTCCGGAGCAATATGCCAAGGACTTACATAAATACAAATTCACCGAGTCCTCTTGTAAACCCT